>NC_000009.12:39555454-39706969 GCF_000001405.40 Homo sapiens
CCGAGTTCATGCCATTCTCCTGCCTCAGCCTCCCGAGTAGCTGGGACTACAGGCGCCCGCCACCACGTCTGGCTAATTTTTTTGTTTTTTTAGTAGAAACGGTTTCACCGTGTTAGCCAGGATGGTCTTGATCTCCTGACCTCGTGATCCGCCCATCTCGGCCTCCCAAAGTGCTGGGATTACAGGCATGAGCCACTGTGCCTGGCCTGTTTTTCCTCTTTTTGAAGACTTCGTAGACTTGGAACATACATATTAACTCTGTGATTTTTTAAAAGCTATTATTGTTCAACTTGAGTTTTTGAGATTCAGGCATGCTGATACATGTAATTAATGTCCTTAATTTTCACTGCTATATGATATTCCACTGAATGCATCTGCCACATTTTATTCATCCATTTTTTGGTTTTTAGGCATCTTAGTTGTTTATTTTTCCTTTTTTGGCTTTCATAAAAAAATGTTTCTATGAATATTTTAGTTTATAACATCTTTTCCCAGTGACTTTTGGATTTTCCTATTCACAACCTATTTAACTGAGTTTACTGGTTTGAATAGAGAACTTTGGGAGGCAACCAATGTGACTTATTTTAGCAGACGGGATGGTGGTTGAGGTGAACTGATGTGCACATGAGGTCAGGTCAGTTGTGCACATGGGCATAGCCTTTTCTCAGTGATAATTCTGAACAGCCCAGCACATTATTGCTGGGAAGTCCTTTAGAGACCATGGGTCCGATTTCCTCTTCTTGAATGCTGTGCCAATGCATTTTCAAAAATTACTGTCATGGCCGGACGCGGTGGCTCACGCCTGTAATCCCAGCACTTTGGGAGGCCAAGGCGGGCGGATCACGAGGTCAGGAGATCAAGACCATCCTGGCTAACATGGTGAAACCCCGTCTCTACTAAAAATACAAAAAATTAGCCAGGCGTGGTGGCAGGAGCCTGTAATTCCAGCTATTCAGGAGGCTGAGGCAAGAGAATGGCGTGAACCCGGGAGGCGGAGCTTACAGTGAGCCGAGATGGCGCCACTGCACTCCAGCCTGGGAGAAGAGAGAGACTCCGTCTCAAAAAAAAAAAAAAAAAAACAAAAACCTGTCATGTTAATGTAGTTTCCTATGCGAAACAAGTGAATTAAAGAGTTAAAAATTAATCGTGTTACAGATGAGCTTGTTTAATTGCTGCATTCCGTCTTTTTCTGTAGTGACTTCATATGAGCACTGAGAGCAGAAATGGTGATGAGGGTTGAGAATTTGCGGTTGTTTTCTTCCCAACTAACTTGTAAATTTAGAATGACCTAAATTTAACGACAACAGCTGCAAACTCTAATCTGAGTACTATATTATAATATTAACTGCTGAATGAAACTAGACATATTATGTCAACGTAAGAGCAACATTTTCAGGGAAGGGTGAGGAATTTGGACTATTTTAAAAACTAAAGGAATACAGCAGGCAAAAGCAAACACCAATCTGCTGACATCAGATAAAGACAAACTTTATTTCTGAAAAAAGAAACTTAGGGGAGAAAAGCTTAGGGCAAACCACCAGCAGATATAGTTTAGATGGCCAGGCGCAGTGGCTCACGCCTGTAATCCCAGCACTTTGGGAGGCCGAGGCGGGCGGATCACAAGGTCAGAAGATGGAGACCATCCTGGCTAACATGGTGAAACCCCATCTCTACTAAAAATACAAAAATTAGCCGGGCATGGTGGCCCGCGCCTGTAGTCCCAGCTACTCGGGAGGCTGAGGCAGGAGAATGGCATAAACCCGGGAGGCGGAGCTTGCAGTGAGCCGAGATCGTGCCACTGCCCTCCAGCCTGGGTGAGAGCGCAAGACTCCATCTCAAAAAAAAAAAAAAAAAAAAAAAAAAAATATATATATATAGATAGATAGATAGATAGATAGATAGATAGATAGATAGATATAGTTTGGATGTTTGTTCTTTCCAAATCTCATGTTAAGATGTGATTCCCATGTTGGAGGTAGGCCCTGGTGGGAGGTGTTTGTATCATGGGGGTGGAGACCTTATGAATGGTTTGATGCCTTCCTCATGGTAACGAATAAGTCCTCCCTGCATTAGTTCATGCAAAAGCTGGTTGTTTAAAGGAGTCTAGGCGGGGTACAGTGGCTCACGCCTGTAATCCCAGCACTTTGAGAGGCTGAGGCCGGCGGATTGATTGAGCTTAGGAGTTCGAGACCACCCTGGGCAACATGGTGAAAGCCCGCCTCTACTAAAATACAAAAAAGTAGCCAGGCCTGGTGGAGTGCACCTGTAGTCCCAGCTACACGGGAGGCTGAGGCACAAGAATTGCTTGAGCCTTGGAGGCAGAGGTTGCAGTGAGCCAAGATCGCACCACTGCACTCCAGCTGGGGCTACAGAGTGAGACTCTGTCTCAAATAAATAAATAAATAAATAAATAAATAAATAAATAAATGAGTCTGGCATCTCTCTTGTTCCCTCTCTTACCATGTCATACACCAGCTCCCACTTTGCCTTCTGCAATGATTGTAAGCTTCCTGTGGCCTCAGCAAAAGCTGATACTGTCATTACACTTTTTGTACAGCCTGCAGAACTGTGAACCAAATAAACCTCTTTTCTTTATAAATTATCCAGCCTCACATATTTCTTTATAGCAACACAAAATCGACTAACACACCAGCAGACATGGTGTTCTTGTTCTCAAAGCCAAGGCGGGCAGATCACCTGAGGTCAGGAGTTCAAGACCAGCTTGGCCAACATGGCAAAACCCCATCTCTAGTAAAAATTAAAAAATTAGCCGGGTGTGGTGGTGTGCACCTGTAATCGCAGCTACTCTGGAGGCTGAGGCAGGAGAATTGCTTGAACCCAGCAGGTGGAGGTTGCTGTGAGCTGAGATTGCACCACTGCACTCCAGCCTGGGTGACAGAGCAAGACTCTGTCTCAAAAAAAAAAAAATTATTATAATCACGAAGTTTAATTTACAGATATGACCTCTTTGTGCAGGGACCTCACAGTCCCCGTGTCTATTTACAGAATCTCCAGCTTTGAACTCACTAAGATAGGGCAACCTCAGTTTCAGGTAGCTGGAATGGAAACCCCCATATCACAGTTCTGACTTCATTGACTTTATATCTAATCCCAGGTATACCTTGCATAGAATCTGTTACAAGGTGAGGTAAGTGAGGTACTCCCCTTAGGAACACAATTAAATGGGTAAGCACAAAACTTAGCAATCAAAATAAATAATGTTTTAATACGTTATTTAAAAATATTAAAATTAATGCAAAAAAGTCACCATGAGCAAATATTAAAATTTAGACAGCAGGATCTGAGCCTGCACTTTTGCAACTCACCTTGTTCATCTCACCTTAATTCCTGTTAATTTCCTTCTCAATTATTTCCAGCAGGACAAAAATTCGTTGGACTTGGTATGAAGATTCAATCCATACCTTGCAGAAATATTTGGTCTAAGAAGGATATTTCATCTAGGACGAGGTCATTTATTAAGTTTAATTCTCCCATCATGTCTTCAAGGCAACAAATATAGTCTAAGACCCTCTATGACCAGTTTTATTTGCCACTTTCCAATTATTTTGTCACTACACAGCCAATCACAATCTGTTGTAAGATTTTACTACAAATGATGACTTAATCTTGCTATCATGATTAGGATGATTATATAGTTTTCTTCATTCAAATTGGGACATTCTTTATTTGAAAGGAGTGCTATAGAAATCATGCCAGGACTAATGGGACTGACTTGGACAAAGCAGTATTGCTTTCAGTATGCGCTATTATATTTTAACCACGTTCTTGTCTCATGGATGACTTTATTAGCATAAGAGTGGCCACTTTTAAAAAGCAGCATTTCTGGGAGGCTGAGGGAGGAGAATGGTGTAAACCCGGGAGGCAGAGCTTGCAGTGAGCCGAGATCGCACCACTGCACTCCGGCCTGGGCGACAGAGAGAGACTCTGTCTCAAAAATAAATAAATAAATAAATAAAAAATAAAAATAAAAATAAGAAAGCAGCATTTCCTACATATTGCATTCAATTTTTTACTTACCTATCCCTTTGACTTTTAAAACTTTTTTTCTTAGTCTGTGCTTGTGTCTTTGTGATGTTTCCATCAGACAGCAGGCGGCACTGCAGCGCACTGTGCACCGAGTTTTGCATTCCTGCCATCCTTTTATACTTATTTATTTATTTAGACAGAGTCTCACTCTTGTTGCTCAAGCTGGAGTGCAGTGGTGCGATCTTGGCTCACTGTAACCTCTGCCTCCCGGGTTCAAGCGATTCTCCTGCCTCAGCCTCCCTTGTAGCTGGGACTACAGGCACCCACCACCACGCCCAGCTAATTTTGTATTTTTAGTAGAGACGGGGTTTCACCACGTTGGTCAGGCTGGTCTCGAACTTCTGACCTTAGGTGATCCACCTGCCTCAGCCTCCCAAAGTGCTAGGGTTACAGGTGTGAGCCACCACCCCGGCCTTACGCCATTCCTTGAAATTTGCGTTTATGGCATCTTTGACTTACTTAATAACACATCTTGTACCATCGTGCTAGAAATGCTAACTTGTGTTCAGAATTTCTGCATCCTTCTTAAGTGAAACTTTGCCAATTAAGTAAACCTATGATAATACGGTAATGAAATCTTATCCCAGTATCTCATTTCTAGTGCCATAATAGTGACAATTTATCTTGTCCTCTTCAGAGGGGCTTAACCTCACTGATTCTGTCAGTAGTAATGGATATATTTAATTAATTCAGCAGGAAGTTCTGTCTTTAAGCTCATTCTCTTTCCCCTATGGGGAGAGTGAGGACAAGCTTCTGCAAAAGAGCCGATTAGCAGAACTTTTGATATTCTGAAGACAGTTACTGTCCCTCTCTTGCTCTTTCTCTTGCTCTGTGTGTGTGTGTGTATGTGTGACACACACACACATTTAATATGTTTATATAAATATTAACATATATATTTAATATTTTCCAGTCCTTATCTCAATGCTCTTGATTGATAATGAGGGGCAGTGAAAATCATTACAGAGATATACAAAGTTTACATTAACTGTATCTAGATGTAGAGTTTTTTAAATCATTTGAACTCTGAGTTTCAACATTTTTTTAAAGCAATAAATGAAAGCCTTCAGAGTGCAAAAATTTTTAATATGATATTAATTTGAAAACCTCAAAGTCTCTGCAGTGATTTTAAATATGATGCAGCCTTCTACTCTAAAAATATGAAATCTAGATTATTAAAGTATTACTAGAATATGGATTTAGTTGTTAATTTAAAAATCTAAATAAAATACAACAGTTTTTATGACAGTTCTGAGGGGAAAAAAACACTGTGGATTGTGTAGGAGTTAAAGGCTGAATCTTCATTTCCTGCTCTCTGAAACTGTACCAGTGATTGACAACCACAAAATAGAGAAAGATTAATGCAGAATATGTCAGTGTAGCAGATAAATTCCACACTTCATAAAACATTTTTTCACAGAGATTAAAAAAATAGAACATTATCAAGAGAACGCAACCCCTGGGTAATAAATGTTAATATTTACATCAATATATAATATACTATAAATATTAATATTTAAATGACACTGGAGATAACCTAAGGAAAAACTATCAGTTTGACTGGGCCACAGGGTGGCTCAGATATTTGGTCAAACATTATTCTGTGTGTCTGTGAGGGTGTTTTCTGAATGAGATTAACATTTGAATCTCTAGCTGAGTGAAGCCCACTGCACTCCCCAATATGGATGGTCCTCATCCTCTTGGTGGGAGGCCTGAATAGAACGAAACAGCTGACCCTCCCGTGAGTACTGGGGAGCTCCTTTTGCCTGACTGTGTGAACTGGGACATTGGTCTTTTCCTACCTTCTTAAATGAACGAAAACATTGGCTCTTCTTGAGCCTCAAGGCTGCAAGCTTTTGGACTATACCTTACCTCTGCTGGGTCTCCAACTTGCTGACTTCAAATTTCCATACTAATCAGCTTCTGTCATTACTTGAGCCAATTCTCAATTCTTTAGACAGTCCCCAACTTACAATGGTTCAAAATGATTTTGCAGCTAATGATGGTGTGGGCTGTTTTGTTTTTATTTAATAAATTGACAATTACTTTAGCTAAAATAATAAAGATTGCATTTTGTTTTTTACTTTCAACATAGTATTTAATAAGTTACATTAAATATTCAACACTTCATTATAAAATAGGCTTTGTGTTACATGATTTGGCCCAAACATAGGCTAAATGTATGCTAATGTAAGTGTTCTGAGCACATTTAAGGTAGGCTAAGCTAAGCTATGAGGTCCAGTAGGTTAGGTGTATTAAATGCATTTTCAACTTGTCAGAGACAAGTGAACCAGAGCAACTCCATCTTAAATAGGAGCTGGGTAAAATGAGGCTGAAATCTCCTGGGCTGCATTCCCAGATGGTTAAGGCATTCTAAGTCATAGAATGAGATAGGAGGTCAGCACAAAATACAGATCATAAAGACCTTGCTGATAAAACAGTTTGCAGTAAAGCAACCAGCCAAAACCCACCCAAACCAAAATTGCGATGAGAGTGACTCTGGTCGTCCTCACTGCTACTCTCCCACCAGCACCATGACAGTTTACAGATGCCATGGCAACGTCAGAAAGTTACCCTATATGGTCTAAAAGGGGAGGGATGAATAATCCACCCCTTGTTTGGCAAATCTCAAGAAATAACCATAAAAATGGGCAACCGGCCGGGTGTGGTGGCTCACGCCTGTAATCCCAGCACTTTCAGAGGCCGAGGCGGGTGGATCACAAGGTCGGCAGTTTGAGACCAGCCTGACCAATATGGTGAAACCCTGTCTCTACTAAAAATACAAAAATTAGCCAGGCCTGGTGGTGCACGCCTGTGATCCCAGCTGCTCAGGAGGCTGAGGCAGGAGAATCACTTGAGCCCTGGAAGGGGAGGTTGCAGTGAGCCTAGATAGTGCCACTGCACTTCAGGCTGGGCAACAGAGCAAGACTCCATCTCAAAAAAAAAAAAAACAAAACCGCAATCAGCAGCCCTTGGGGCTGCTCTTTCTATGGAATAACCATTCTTTTATTCCTTTACTTTCTTAATAAACTTACTTTCATTTTGCACTGTGAACTCACCCTGAATTCTTTCTTGCACAAGATCCAGGAACCCTCTCTTGGGGTCTGGATCTGGACCTCTTTCCTGTAACAAACTTATGATGGGTTTATTGTGACATAACCCCATTGTAAGTTGAGGAACATCTGTGTGTGTGTGTGTGTGTGTGTGTGTGTGTGTCTATGTGTAGACAGAGATAGAAAGAGATAGAGAGAGACAGTACTCTAGAGAAACCTTACTAATAATATATGTAGAACAAACAAACAAAACAAAACCATTTCTATATTATGTCACACCTAACTTGTTGCTTTCCGCTCTGGTATTATTGTTGAATAAATGAGCAAATGCCACACAGTTACAAAATGATACTTTTTCCATTTTTATAGCCAATTCAAACAGAAAAGCAATCTTATGGATACTATGGTCCACATCATAAAAGCATATTTTATTTTTGTATTTTATAGAGTAGATACTGTCAATAAACATTAATCTAAAAATTAATTTTTAGATTAATGGCGGCCATACTAGTTATAGTTTATGAATCATGTTTGGTCAACTAGTAGCAGGATATAATTTCTACTTGGCCAAGCCCAGTGGCTCACAGCTGTAATCCTTGCACATCGGGAGCTCAAGGGGAGAGGATCACTTGAGCCCAGGAGTTCAAAACCAACCTGGACAACATTTCTACAAAAAAATGTAAAAATTTGCCAGGCACAGTGGCACGCCTGTGGTCCCAATTACTAGGGTGGCTGAGGTGGGAGGATCATCTGAACCTGGGAGGTGGAGGCCGCAGTGAGGTCTGATCACACCACTACACTCCAGCCTCGGCAACAAAGTGAGACCTCACCTCTCAAAAAACAAATCATGTATATGGACTTAGTTCCTTTAACGTGAAATAATGCCCCATATGTGTACACTCCACTGATTTGTAGGAAAAAATTGATGCAAGGATGAGGGATGCATAAAGGAAGAATTTCTCCAGTATCTCTCAATCTTTTTTTCTTTTTCTTTTTCTTTTTTTTTTTTTTTTTGAGACTGAGTCTCGCTCTGTTGCCCAGTCTGGGGTGCAGTGGCACGATCTGGGTTCACTGCAACCTCCGCCTCCGGGGCTCAAGCAATTCTTCCTGCTTCAGCCTCTAGAGTAGCTGGGATTACAGGAGCCTGCCACCACACCCAGCTAAATTTGTTTGTATTTTCTAGTAGAGACTGGGTTTCACCATGTTGGCCAGGCTGGTCTTGAATTCCTGACCTCAGGTGATCCGCCTGCCTAGGCCTCCCAAAGTGCTGGGATTACAGGTGTGAGACACTGTGCCCGGTCCAGTATCTCTCAATCTTGATTTAGGGGTTAGAGACTTCTTGGCCCCGACTTTGTGACCACTTTCACTAGTTATCTCCATGCCCGCTCTGGAGAAGTGAAGCTAGGGAGGCCTTCAGCTGCTGGCTCACTAGGAAGCACTCACAGCGGGAGGGAGCCGACTCTGCCCTCCAGGTGGTTTTAGGTCCACATCTGTGGAGGGCCAGGAGCTGGTAACTATTCTGTGATGCACGTTGAATTTTCTCCACTGTAACTCATTCCTTGGACATCTTGTCAGTTCACTCACAAATGATATGTTGACAGTATTTGTGTTAGAACAGCGTGTCCTAAAGTGACATTTTACATGTAGCTGCTTTGTGCATTTATCTTTTATAATACAAAACTATTATCCTTAAAAAAAAGTCATTTAAGTACAAACTTAAAAAAGACTTTCGGAAGTAGTTACCAATTTAGGGATACACCTGGGATACGATATTATTCTTTTTAATCAAAACTTCAGCCCCATGGAAAATGTAGCAGTAGACACTTTAGATGACAGTGACACAAATCATATCCTTTTATGTTTGGGTAGGCTTTAACTTCTAAAATCATCTCTTACCTCATTCTCCTACTTTTAAGGAAAAAAGTTTCATTTTACCTTGGCATGTCATGACTGCTGACATGATTTCCAACATGCCATTAAATAGAATCATCTTGAAGAAGGAAGGAGGGGAAGGAAGTGGAGGAAGAAAACCCAGATTATCACAGGCTCTGGTAAACATTTGATAGGAATCACTATCTCCCTTGGTCCTCAAAAAACTCCACAAACCAGATATTGTGCATCTGGCAAAAGCAGAAATACAAAGCAGAAAGGTCAAGCAACTTGCCTCTGATTTCACTATTAAGGAGAGCAGAGCACAGCCTCAGGTTCAGGCCCTGGTTCTAGAGCCCCTGTTCTAACCACTGCTTGCGGCTGCCCACCCTGCAGAACATGCTGGCATACTATGCAGAGGCAAAGGCAATATTTTACTGAAATGTCAGAGGTTTATGTTATTGGCATACTACAGATGACCTTCCTTGTGGCCCCAATTTTGCTTCAAATAATAGAAAATGCACAGTAGGCTGGGGATGGTGGCTCACACCTGTAGTACCAGCACTTTGAGAGGCTGAGGTGGGAGGATCACTTGAGGCCAGGAATTTGAGACTAGCCTGGGCAACACAGAGAGACTGTCTCTACCAAACAAAGAAAGTGCACAATAGTTCCACATACACATTTTACATCTGACAGAAACTAAGAAACAAAAATCTGGAATACCTCCACCTAAGACTGTACAGCCCCTGGTTACACAGATGTGACTGAATATTTCTGTGGTACTCTCAGGTTGCTGGTTCTCATTTCCATTCTGATTTCTGCATCTTTCCACTTTCATGAATTGTATTTTACACTATGTAAGTTGCAACCATTTGGAAAAACAAACAAAAATAAGTATTTTTGCAGCTAATTAATTTATAAAGTTTTTATTTTTAATTCACCTCATTTCAATGGGGAAATAAGTATAAGATACAAAATAGAGTCATGAATAAAATAAAATAAAACGTGTATAATTGGTATTTCTACATGAACATAAATGCATGAATATGTTGTTCAATTGCTTGGTCCGAGTAATACTTTTATTTCTGAGAGTACTTGCTGTCAAAGAAAGGTTGAAACATGATCAATTACAAGACACTCAAGGTTAATAATAGAATTTAGAAAAAGCAATGGACAGGGATGCTGCATGGTAAAGTTGTAGAGATCAGATATCAGCCCCAATTTTCTTTTTTTTTATACAGTGGTGATGATGATGTTGATGTTAATAATCATCTTAACATTTACTGAGTATTAATATTACGTCTGCACTGTTGTAGCACTTTGCATGTATTAACTCATCGCCTCTTCACAGAAGCCCTAGGAGGTAATATATCAGTAATATTTGCATTTTACAGAGGCAGGAAGACAGAACTGCCAAGGTCACAAGGTATATTAGTTTGCTAGAGACATCATAACAAAGTGCCACACACTGGGTGACTTAAACAATGGGCATTTTTTGTCTGACAGTTCTGGAGGATAGAAGTCTAACACTAAGGTGCCAGCAGGGTTGGCTCCTTCTGAAGGCTATGAACAAAGCATCTATTCCAGGCCTCTTTCCTGGTTTTGTAGACACCTGTCTTCTTCTTTGATCTCTTCACATCATCTTCCCTCTACGTGTGTCTGTCTCCAAATTTCCCTTTTTACAAGGATATTAGTCAAATTGGATTAGGGTCCCTTCACAACAACCTCATTTTAACTCCCATGTAAAGACCCTATGTCCAAATAATTCCTGGGTTCTGCAGTACTCAGTGTTTAAAAATTCAACATATGGGCTGGGCATGGTGGCTCACACCTGTAATCCTAGCACTTTGGGAGGCTGAGGCAGGCGGATCACCTGAGGTCAGGAGTTTGAGACAAGCCTGACCAACATGGCAAAAACCCATCTCTACTAAAGGTACAAAAATTAGCTGGGCATGGTGGCAGGCACCTGTAATCCCAGCTACTCAGGAGGCTGAGGCAGGAGAATCACTTCAACCCAGCAGCTGGAAGTTGCAGTGAGCTGAGATAGGGCCATTGCACTCCAGTCTGGGTGACAGAGTGAGACTCTGCCTCAAAAAAACTAAATAAATAAAAATAAAATAAAAATTCAACATTTGAATTCTGAGAGATGCATGGTTCAACCTCTAACACACGGCCAGGAGATCTGCACACAGGCAGCCTGGCCCTGCACCCAGCCTCAGGGCTATTCAGAGTGTGGTCTGTGACCCGCAACCTCAAGTGCCACCCTGGGTTTCCCTTAGTTCCTTGAACACCTTTTTTTCAGTAAGTCTTTAGGAAGGTAACATAATGTAGGTAATTCATTCAAAGTAAGAATGTAGCTCCATTAATGACATGAGTGCATTCTGTCCTGGTTTTGTTGGATTATTTTATTCTTCCCCCTTATTTGTCCTCCCTGGATGTTAAGTCAGTCCTGTTGGGTGATGTAAAAAGGGCGAGTGTGATCTCAGGGCTCTTAGAGAGAGGGTCAACACCGTGACAGCATCAGTCAGGCAGTTTCTCACAGGAGCCATCGGCTTCCTGCGGCTTCCTCCGGAGCCTTCCTTCCTGCTGCTCCACAGGGGCTGCTGCATGGGAGACGCTGCCCTGCTGAGCTGTCATTTAAACTTATTCTGAAGATTAACAAGGCCCATCACTTGCAGATACTAAGCCCCTATCATGAACACAGTAAAATATTTACTTGAACAAATTAAAATATTCTATTCAATGATGATTCAGAATAAATTAAAATACTGTAGAAGTGTGTTTTATGTAAATATTTTCTCTTTTGTTCTGGATTTTAATTATCTTGAATTTTTATTTGCAGAACATTTAAGGAAGTTTCTATTTTAAACCAGCCTTGGAGGGTTTTCATGACAAGGAATTGCACATTGGATGATCATTTCTACCTTTTGCAATAACTACTTCTTATTTGCAAGTTGTGTTTAAGTGAACAAAGACAGTAAGTATTAAATAATTGAAAACTATTTTTTAGCAGATTTGTTGGATAACAACTATTTAAGGAGGTTAAACAAATGCCCTTCAGATTTTCAGTCAATATTGGCTATTACTAAGCTGACTTGCTTCTTTAATCACAGGGCTTCATTTGAAGTCCAGTAACTATGACTTTGAGAAGATCCTTGGTTTCCACAGCATGTATGATTCATACCCACAGGTTTCCCTGTGAAACCTTTTCCAATCTTTTACACTATGCTTCAGAATCCTGTACCTCCTACTTAAAATAAAGAACACTTAACTAGTAAAAATATGATACTGCAAGATGAGTGTCACTAGATGATAGCATCATGCTTCCACTGTAACCCTGTCTTCATATTTAAATGCGGATACACTGTTTACTTCTTCATAACATAAAGAGATACCAAATACTTATTCAATACCTAACAATATGCAGCATTTATATGAACTTTGGGTAATCTTTCTCAAGTGGGTCCTAGAACATACATACACACACACACACACACACACACTGAAAGTATCGATATAAAATATAGGTACAAAAATGTTTCAGCAGAGATTACAGAAGAATGTTGAAACTGCATAAGGCATGTTCAGAAATTTCAGAGCCAGTTGAGCAGCAAAAAACACAGAAATCCTGTCAGGAGATACTATTTCCAAAATCCTCAGAACAAAACAGTCAAACTACAGCGAGAAACCTTAGAGTGTGTTCTTGGGCAAAATCTAAGAATTTAGCCAAGGTCAAAACCCGAAGTGTCAGAGTTCACCAGTTCTGTCATCATAATTTTTCCAGGACTCATTTTCCTCATCTGTATGATGAGGGGGTTAGCCTGGATAAAATACAGGGCCTAACCAATGCCCTGTCTCTGTAAGGGCAGCAATATTGTGGAAGAATTTCTGCACTTTAAATATCCGTCTTGGCAGCAAATCCTCAGAGTCATGAAGTAGCACGTCGTTTATCCTCGTGTATCTGGGCACAGATGCTAGTGTTACATCCATCCCTCACTACTCATCAACATGAGTCCAAGACATCGATCAGTTCTTTATTTAGAGATAAAATGACAGGATAGATCCTCTCTGTGTGTTTATTTCACAATTCCTTCATGACTTGCATTCCCCTTTCTCATCAGAATCAGTGCCCTCCATTTCTTCTTAAAGGATGGTATTTTGACATAAATGGAAATGATTTTTGCCTTCTGTGAGACAGGGGGTTTTTTCTCCACTTTCTTATAGGTCAATTTCCAAATCATGAATGACGGACTCACTAATTATAGTACTGTCAATGTTTTCTTGACAGGGTCTTTATTTTTTTCCTCCAGGAGACTTGGGAATGAGTACATTCCTATCTAATGTGAAAATCCAAGGTTATTTTCCTTTTACATAAGATCACTTTTTCCCTTAGAAATCACATAGATGGATTATAGAAGACATTTTATAGGAAATTATAAAATCTAGGAAAAAGTTGCAATATTGCAAAATTGCTGTAATATGGCAAATGAACTGAAACATGGGGTTTCATATGACATCTAGTAAATTTTATTATTTATACTGTGAAATCCCATTAAATGATGAAATTAAAATAGTTTAACCTGCTAAATTGTGTGTTCTTTTGACCGCTCTTGACAGGGTGGACAAAGGGTCAATTAAGAATCACCCTTTTTGATGCCAGACAAGCTCCAGTGAGTCAGAGCAAACACGTTCTGAAGTGTCTTACTCAACCACATCACAGAAACTGTCTCAACATTTTGCCATTCTTAAAATTAGTCTCCCAAGTCTATTCATGATTCAAAGGTGGTGAACATCAGCTATATACTTTTCTGTTTTGCAGGTTACTTATAATTCCTTAAGCTGTTTCTTCCCTCCATCTCTAACATTCTTTCATTCTTTGAAGATAAGCTATGGACAATTAGGGAAACATAACATAATTGTCTGTGCCCTTGCTTGGGTGTTTCAAATATTAGTATTGTAAAAATCTGTGACTTAGAGGGATTATTCTCACACACACACACACACACACCTATTATCCACAGATTAACTTATTCTACTCTTAAGAAAACATTTTATAGATGTATTCTCAATACTTCCCTTTACGGAGGATGTTTTTTCTATTATTAAATTTTAACCATACATAACTGGAAATCAATTATACTGACCACCTGCCCATATGAGCTATTCAGGCATCATTTTTTTTCCCAACACGCTATGAGCTGTGATGAGAATGAGAAAAATAGCACTTGATAAGTCAACTCCACAACCCAACTCAGTATTCTACAAGGTTCTCTTTATATTTGATTCATTTGAGAGAAAAAACCCTGAGGGTGAATATAGAGTAGGTAATGTTCAAGGAAAAAAAAAGCCTATTTTAGATATTTTCCGTGTAATTCTCAGAATATGATTAAAGGAAAGATCTTTTGAATTCAGATTTCCATGGAAACACTCACAGCATTTTTCAATGGCGAGTAAGTGAGCTACATGATCTAACAAACCATTTTCTTACTGAATTTAAAATTGTGTTAGTTAGACATTATCAGTTTCCCTCCCTGTTCACCATGAGCCTGAGTTGTTTCCCTAGGCTTGGTAACATCCTCTCCCCTTTCCTTGTCCCTGGGTTGCTGTTGTAAAGTATGCCATCCCTGTGGTTGTTAATTCTAATGCAAATTTATTAGTCAGGCCATTCTCAGCTCCCTATGATGGGCGTAGAAATGGGGAAGGTACCCTTGGTAGGTAACTTATCTCATTTTGATTTCTAAATGATGTAAATGTAATAGCTTAAAAAAAAATCTCCATATAACTGTTCTCTGCACCCTCTGATTGGGTAAATACTCATGCAAATTGACCATCTTATCAAATATATTTTTATGAAAGTTAAAGAACCTGCACCACATACGTAGCAAGACAACTTCCAGTCACTTCTTACCCTCTGAGCCTTGGGCTTCTCTGCAGCTGGGCAATGCTGCACAAACAGCATAAATGCTCCAGTTGGGCATTTGGTCTTAGAGGGGTAAAAGATCTAAGAATGCTTTTGCCTGTTACACGATTGGGCAGGTTGTATTTCATTTTTAAATACAAAAGAAGTAAATAATCGATGTGCCAGAAATATATTTGAATTTTTGTCAGTTGACATTTCAGTAGCCATTATGGACCCAAAGTCATTTTGTTTAAGGAGCTGATACTGGATAATATATTTTTATTTAACAAAAGTTATGATAACATGTAGTCCACATGATCTGAACATGCGTGTCCTAAAAATATATTTGAAAATGAGAGAAATGCATATAGAGATGAGGAAAACCCTAGCTGAAAAGATAAATATATAGACGATAATTTTTTTTAATTTGGGGAGAAGATGATGAACATGAAAAGAATTATGAGTTTGAAAATCTGTCTACAGAAACATCAGGTAATTCCTTATCAGTGCACTTACAACACATTTCCTCATATGCATGCCTGACAGCTGCCACAGCAAAGCTGCCATTCGAGAATTTCTTTTAAAAGTTAATGTACACAGATATCCATGAGAGACTTAGTATTTCCAGAAGCTTTCGATTGGGGTAGAGTTGAAAGGGAGGGTAATATTTTGCAGTGCTGTGGAATAAAGCAGCATCTGTCTCAATTACATCCAGCTCTTATATGCAGAAGATTTCCCAAAGATGGCAGTTTTGATAAATATTGACCTCCAAAGCTCTATCATTTTGTCGACCTAAAAGGAAGAGGCTGAGACACAAACTCTGTAATTTAAAGAGTTTACTGAGCCAAAGTGAAGACAGTTGTCAGGAGGACTCGGACCCGTGTAACCTTGGATATGAGTTTGGCCTTTGTTACAAACAGATTTTTAAAGGCAAAAAAGAGGGAGAAGGCATGGCTGATACAAAGTTGTTTGTCAGGCATTCTTATTGATTTATAGAAATAACATTGATTAGTGATTGGCTATACATTGTTAAGCTACAGGGTGTGGGTTATAGCGTTTGCTCTGGCATTATTAGGTTAATTTATAGCTACTTGTGGCAATAAGCAGTTTCAGGAGATGAATACCTAGCTCAAAGCGGGGAGTAGGACTTGACTGCTGCCTCATTTTAATGTCTCTCTGGGCCTCATTATTTAAAAGGACTCACATTCCTCAGATAAAAGTTCTTTTCTCGCCTTTTTTTTTTTTGAGTAATACAGAATCAATCAAGCAATATTGTCTCCATTGCACGAAGTAATGTGTTATTTACACCATGGATATTCTAAAATGAAACCATGAATGTGAGTTGTTAAAAAAGCAAGTACAATAAAAAATGCATGTCCAAAAATGGATACTCCCAGGCTGAGGAGCTGAGCTGTCAGCAACGGGAATGATGACTCTTGGCCTGCGAAAGTCACTGAAAATTGAATTTGAGGGCACAGAGGAGGATGGGAGTCAGTGGCTAAAATTGTTGAGAAAGTCATTTACATTTTTCTTATTTATTATTTCTATTCTTCAGAGTCTAATATTTTCACTAATTTTAAAAAAACTTTTTCTTGGCTGGGCGCGGTGGCTCACGCCTTAATCCCAGCACTTTGGGAGGCCGAGGCGGGCGGATCACGAGGTCAGGAAATCGAGACCATCCTGGCTAACACGGTGAAACCCCGTCTCTACTGAAAATACAAAAAAATTAGCCGTGCGTGGTGGCGGGCGCCTGTAGTCCCAGCTACTCCGGAGGCTGAGGCAGGAGAATGGCGTGAACCCGGGAGGCGGAGCTTGCAGTGAGCAGAGATCGCGCCACTGCACTCCAGCCTCGGTGACAGAGCAAGACTCCGTCTCATTTAAAAAAAAAAAACAAACTTTTTCTTATAGTCCCCTAAATGTTTAACAATATTTAAACTATCTTCAATGGTTCTAAACACATTTGGTACCTTTAAAATTTTATTTCCTATTTTATAAGAAAGATGAGAGATTTGGATGTAAACACACAGTTTTGCATTTAGGTGTAATGATGTCTTGGCTCTTCAATCTGAAGAGAAAATATAATGACTAGTAATTAAGTTGGAAGTGGTATTTGAAAACCATCTATTAATTGTTTTACCTACTTTCTACTACCTAGTTTTAAGTTTCAACATAATTTTTAAAAAAATGTTTAATACTGGCCGGGTGCGATGGCTCACACCTGCAACCTCAGTACTTTGGGAGGCCAAGATGAGTGGATCACTTGAGGTCAGGAGTTGTATTCACCAACATGGTGAAACCCCATCTCTACTAAAAAAAAAAAAAAAAAAAATTAGCCAGGCATGGTGGCACACGCCTGTAATCCCAGCTACTTCGGAGGCTGAGGCAGGAGAATCGCTTGAACCCGGGAGGCAGAGGTTGCAGTGAGCCGAGATCGTACCATTGCACTCCAGCCTGGGCAACAAGAGCAAAACTCAGTCTCAAACAAAACAAAACAGAAAGTTTAATACTGATGCCTTCTTGCATATCTCACTATTCCTAGAATTGCATTTTATTTGTTGTTGTTGTTTTCCTTTCCCTGCTGGGCTGGGGTGGGTGGTGATATATGCAGTGATGTTTACAAGCAGAGAGGCTGTTGCAGCAGAGGTCTCATCTAACAGGGAGCCTTAATGAGCAGTGGCGCTTATAAATTAGGGAGATACTGAAGCACGCTCCAGATTCAGTCAGGACCTCAGGATGAGAGCTTGGGGTTGGGGAAGAAAACATAAAAGTGGCTGAGTATTTTTGAGGGGTTGATGAGTCTAAGCCCACTTCTTAAGCTTTGCTCTTTGATTTCCTGTGTACTAGGTAGGTATTTACCTTCTCCTCCTCCTTTTTAAGCTGGGGTGCCTGCGAGCCTCCATGCAGCATTCGCTGGACAGTGCTGAGGAGTCAGTTATCAGTGCCGCTGGTGGACGTGAACGTTGCTCTGAGAAGCTGTGTGGCCAAGGGTGACATTTCCTCCAGGCAGGAAAGTCCATGAGTGTTGTTTCTTTGTCTTTGAATGAACAGTCAAGCCATGCCTCCAGACATCTTTGACATAAGCACAGGCCTCCACAAGACTTTTAAAATACTCTAGGGGAGAAAAGTCCTATCTTTTCTTCACCCGCCACAAGGTTTACAGCCCAAAACCCCCATAACAAAAGACAGGTTAACAAGAGAAAAGCATAACAAAGGTATTTAATCAAAGTTTTGCTTGACACAGGAGGCTTCAGAAATGAAGACCCAAACACCCAGGGGGAAACTGTATTTTTATGTTAAATCTGATGAAAGAAGTGAATAGTTGTGGAGCAACGTAACTGGACAAAAGGGATATGATCTAATGGTAATAAACTGAGCAGAGCCCAGCAAGGCCTGTTTGTTCTGATTCTTCTTGGTCTCTCTGTGTGTAACCGCCCAATGGGTTCATCTAGCCCCCTGCCTAGACGGAGCTGATTTATCAAGACAGGGGAATTGCAACAGAGAAAGTGTAATACACACAGAACCAGCTGTGTGGGAGACTGAAGTTTTATTGTTGTTCAAATTAGTCTCCTGGAGCATTTGGGGATCAGAGTTTTTAAGGATAATTTGTGAACTGGTGGGGGGCAGTGAGTTGGGTGTGCTGATTGGTCAGGTCATAGGGAGTCAAAGCTGTCCTCTTGTGCTGAGTCAGTTCCTGAGTGGGGCCACAATATCAGATGAGCCAGTTTATCGATCGGGGTGATGGCTGCTGATCCATCAAGTGCAGCGTCTGCAAAATATCTCAAGAGCTGGTCTTAGGCTTTACAGTAGTGATGTTATCCCCTGGAGCAATCTGGAAAGAACCTCGTAGCCTCCAGCTGCATGACTCCTAAACCATAATTTCTAATCTTGTGACTAGTTTGTTAGTCCTACAAAGCCAGTCTAGTCCCTAAGCAAGAAAGGGATTTGTTTTGGGAAAGAGCTGTCATTATGTTCATTTTAATCTATAAATTATAAACTAAGTTCCTTCCAAAGTTAGTTCAGCCTACGCCAAGGAATGACGAAGGACAGCTTGGAAGTTAGAAGCAAGATGGAGTTGGTTAGGTCAGATCTCTTTCACTGCCTCAGTTATAATTTTGCAATGACGGTTTCATGTGTAGCATTCCTTTCTCCAGGTAAGGGGCAGGACTCCTCTGGAATGAGGGTCTTATGAGCTCTCAGGGGAGGTAGGTAAAAGATAACCTTTCTAGATTTTATGGCTTGTTTCAGGAGACAGAAGGATGGGAGAAGGCCAAAGAGAACTACTTGCTTCTAAAACCCTCCTGTCTCCTTTAGTGCAACAATCCACACATGCCAAGGCACCATACTTTGGGGTACTGTGCTCTGAGCTCCGATAATACAAAGAAGTAGAACCATGTCACGCTAAATGTTTAATATGCAGCTGGGGGTTTTATCTAATAAATGCAATAACAAATCATATCTCCTCATGACATTAGGGTTTTAGATAGGCACTCCATGGTCTCAAACAGATTTTAGCTTCAATCTCTACATAGCTGCTACTTATTTCTATGAAAACAATCTTTGAAAATTGTTTTCAAGAAATTACAGGGCTGGGCGTGGTGGCTTATGCCTGTAATCCCAGCATTTTGGGAGGCCAAGGCAGGAGGATCACCAGAGGTTAGGAGTTCAAGATCAGCCTGGCCAACATGGTGACATCCCGTCTCTACTAAAAACACAAAATTAGCCAGGTGGGGTGGAATGCACCTGTAGTACTAGCTACTTGGGAGACTGAGACAGGAGAATCGCTTGAATTCAGGTGGCAGAGGCTGCAGTGAGCCAAGATCAGGCCACCGCACTCCAGCCTGGGTGACAAAGCAAGACTCTGTGTAAAAAAAAAGAAAGAAAGAAAGAGAAAACAAAAACAAAAGAAATTATGTAACTGGTCTGCTCAAGATAATTAATTTTGTGTAATTACTGAACATATTAAAGGCTCTTTATTTTATTTTATCTTTTTGTGAGACAGAGTCTCGCTCTGTCCCCCAGGCTGGAGTGCAGTGGCGCCATCTCGGTTCACTGTAAGCTCCGCCTCCCGAGTTCACACCATTCTCCTGCCTCAGCCTCCCGTGAACTGGGACTACATGAGCCCACGACCACGCCCGGCTAATTTTTTTGTATTTTTAGCAGAGACAGGGTTTCACCGTGTTAGCCAGGATGGTCTTGATCTCCTGACCTCGTGATCCGCCCGCCTCAGCCTCCCAAAGTGCTGGGATTACAGGCATGAGCCACCGTGTCCAGCCGTAAATATTTTTTAATTAAAAAAAAAAAAAAGCTGGTTAGTATTCTTAAAGAAATGTTCTGTTGCAGGGTTTGGATTGTTATTTTCTTAAAGCTGTTTCTTTTGGCCGGGTGCAGTGGCTCACACCTGTAATCCCAGCACTTTGGGAGGCCGAGGCGGGCAGATCACAAGGTCAGGAGATCGAGACCATCCTGGCGAACACGGTGAAACCCCGTCTCTACTAAAAATACAAAAAGCTAGCCGGGCGTGGTGGCGGGTGCCTGTAGTCCCAGCTACTCGGGAGGCTGAGGCAGGAGAATGGCGTGAACCCAGGAGGCGGAGCTTGCAGTGAGCCGAGATCACGCCACTGCACTCCAGCCTGGGCAACAGAGCAAGACTCTGTCCCCCCCGCCCCCCAAAAAAAAAAAAACCCACACACACCAAAAAACTGTTTTTACGTCATTATCTGAGCGGAAGCGGAACCGCATTAGAGGGTGAGTAGTTGGGCTAAATAGGACTCGCCTTTCTCATATTCTTTTTTCAGATGATACCCTGTTGAGCTGGTAGGTAGGAAGAACCAGCGAAGCGCACAGTTACCGGAGAGGTTATTTGCCCAATGTTGAGAAACATATGTGTGTATTAGAAAAAATCACATCGACTCCCAGGAATCCTGCAACATACTGCAACTGTGATGCTGACCAGAATGAGTGGAGATTTCCTCATGATTTCTCTGTGTGAGATGCAGGTTAAAAAAATTATTACTTAATATATGAATAGGCAGATATTGAATAAGCTATTGCAATGAAAAAATAAAAGTATGCCCTAGTGAGTAAAAAATGTAAGCTGATGAAATATAATACAATTAATATGAAAACTAAATATCAAGATGGAAGGTTTGCTAGTTCACTGTGGATAATAGATCATGTACATTTTTCTAGTAAATAGAAATACTTGGCTTCCATTCACTAGAAGTCCAACATCATCTCTTTAAATTTAAGTTCGATTAAGCAATCTATTACTACCAATATTTAAAGTAGTAATTCACAAAGTGTATCTGCTTATAAAAGTCCCATGATTATCTACATTTAAGAGTTAATGCTGCATATCACACCCCTTGGGGACACCATACATTAACATATTTAGTTCTGATAGGACTGTTTACTTGTCTCAATCCTGATTTTCCAAAGTCAGTTAATCACAAAATTATGTAGGCAATGTCATATGATCAGGAAAAAAAGTGTTCCGTGAACCCCACCCTGCAAAGGGTGATCTAAAAAATGTCAGAGATTCGAAAATGTTTCAACTGTCTTTAGAACAAAGCAATAATCTCCTGTGGATTGCAATACTTCCTTTACTGAGAATTTGGAAAGTTTTTTGTAGATTTTTAGGTTATAGTTGGAAAGTATGCTGATTTTTTTTAACATGGAAAGTAAAAGTGGTTTTTAAATCTCTGGATTAATTTATTAACATGTATCACTAACTCAAAAAAAAAAACCTTTTTTTTTTTTTTTTGAGGTGGAGTATCACTCTGTTGCCCAGGCTGCAGTGCAGTGGCACAATCTCAGCTGACTGCAGTCTCCACTTCCCGTGTTCAAGTGATTCTCATGCCTCAGCCTCCCAAATAGCTGGGATGACAGGTGTGCACCACCATGCCTGGCTAATTTTGTATTTTTAGTAAAGATGTTTTGCCACGTTGGCCAAGCTAGTCTCGAACTTCTCACCTCAAGTGGTCTGCCTGCTTGGGCCTCCCAAACTGCTGGGATTATAGGCTTGAGCCACAGCACCGGCCCTCAAAAAAGGTTTCATAAAGCCCTAGTGCTTCATCTACTAGCCTATGTATCTCCAAATCCATTTGACCATGCAGCATACATTTATTTTTAAACTCTTAAAGGTCAATCTGGGTGTATATATCATTGATTTGGCTACAGAATGTCAGTTATATTTTATGTCTTTGGTTAAAAAGTGAGGATACAAAATTTTATTCTCAAAACACGTTTATGTAATGTTGATTAATAAAAATAATTCACCTACTCATGTTTGATAATTAAATAATTAGTTTTATCTTTCCCATCACAGTAGGTGACACATAGAATATTTAGGTTTTGATTTTGTCAAGATGAAAATGAATAGCAAACCTGTTTGGAATTCTGAATTCAATCTCAATAAGGAATAGAAAAAAAAAAAAGCAGACTTCATTTTAATTTGGTTTGTATTATTCCCACAGGAATATACCTGGGGCAGATAAATCTTCTAGAAAATCAGATGTCCTTTCATATGAGAATAGAGTTCAATGATATACTTTTCATCATACACATCATATGACAATGTCATCTTTAAATATAGTAAAGGGGGCCAGGTGAGGTGGCTCATGTCTGTAATCCCAGCACTTTGGGAGGCCGAAGCAGGTGGATCACCTGAGGTCAAGAGTTTGATACCAGCCTGGCCAACATGACAAAACCCCATCTCTACTAAAAATACAAAATTAGTTGGCATGGTTGCATGTGCCTGTAATCTCAGCTACTTGGAGGCTGAGGCAGGAGAATTGCTTGAACCTGGGAGGTGGAGTTTGCAGTGAGCCAAGATCGCACCACTGCACTCTAGCCTGGGTGACCGAGCAAGATTCATTTTCAAAATAAATAAATAAATAAATGAGAAAAAAATATAGATATAGTAAAGGGAACAATTACATTCTACAATATTTTAGCAGAAGTAAATATGGTTTAATTCAATGGAAACAGCTCTGCTCTATAGAAAATTCACAAATATTAAAAATAAACACACTCTACATTAAACCTCTGAGCACTAGAAGCTTACCTACTTATTCATAGGCTCACATACTGTAAGGGGGTAAATCCCAAAACCCAGATAAGTCAAATGAAAACTTCACTATGCCCTCCCTTTATCTATTATATTATGTGCAGTTTTGTGAGTTTTCAACATAAATGATTAGCTTCTGAGGAGTTTTAAAAGCATTTGCCATAGATCAACGATAGTATGTTCTAAAAATGAGTCATCAGTTAAAGCTACAGTAACATGAATATAGTATTAATAGTTACAGTCAATGAAAAAATGATGACTTTATTTTTGTCTTTAAGGGTATAAAAAGCGTATTCAAAGTTACTGAGGGTACTCAGAGTTAATTTTTCACATCAAAGGGAAAGGGCTAAGGAAGGAATTGTTTTAGCCTTTCATTCAACATTGTAACTGCAAACAAAAAATTACTTTGAAATAAACATACAGCTGTACCCCTTGCTAATTAAGAAAGAACTTCTTGGTCATAATTATATAATGGCCAATTTTTACTTCTAATTCCGGCTTGGATTTCCCTAGTTTATTTATTAGCCATTGAGTTATTATGATCATCCAGTTGTTAGCCTTTAGACATAATATTTGTATTCGCTGTTGATTAATTTTTTTTTCCAAAATTTACATAACTCTGGCTGTCCTATCAATTTCCCATAGAGTTATCATTCCACTTGAATCTGTGAAAAGTGTCTGATTAAAAATCATACGGATAATTACCATCAACACTCAATTCTCAGCAGCTGTTGAGGAGGAGCTTCAGTTAGATACACATCATCCCAAAGAGAACTCATCGTGATGGAAGGGACATTAGAAATAAGAGGAGAGTGGTTAAATCAGTAAAAGATTGACTCCATTACACTGCCATCTGTTCATCCACGACCTTGCTTCCATTATTCTGTGCCCATTTATTGATTTAATGACATGAATATTGTTTGACAACTGCCCAGTGTCTGCAATAAATGTTAATTTTTTTGCTCAACGGTTGTTGCATTGACCATGAAAATGTATTTGATCATCAATCATTTTCACTGTACATCTGGTTAGAAAATATTGGACACTATATGAAGGCCTTTATAAGGCAAATACAGATAACTTGTATTTTTAGTAAATTCTACCAATGAAGCTGTGCCGATGACATACTTCCCATGACATGTCTGAGAACACAGTTCCCCGTAGGAGAGGTGAGCTACCAAAGTGTAAGCATCAGTAAGAACAGCACTCCAAGTTATCGCAAGCACCTATTTTTTTTTTTTGAGTCAGAGTCTCGCTCTGTCCCCCAGGCTGGAGTGCAGTGGCGCAATCTCGGTTCACTGCAAGCTCCGTCTCCTGGGTTCACGCCATTCTCCTGCCTCAGCCTCCCGAGTAGCTGGGACTACAGGCGCCCGACACCACGCCCGGCAAATTTTTTGTATTTTTAGTAGAGACGGGGTTTCACCGTGTTAGCCAGGATGGTCTCCATCTCCTGACCTTGTGATCCGCCGGCCTCGGCCTCCCAAAGTGCTGGGATTACAGGCGTGAGCCACTGCGCCTAGCCCGAAAGCGCCTATTTTGAAAGGATGTGCTACCTAAATATTTGTAGCTAACATCACATTGTTAGAAATGATGCACTGAACAGCAGTTATTATTTTACCAAAAAAAGTTTCTATGGAGGAATCTCTTAACAAGCTTATGACAGGAGAAAAAAAAAGAAAACTAGACAAGGTTTTAAATTATTTCTACAGATCAGGTAACACAAAGGAGTCTTTAGTTCCTCAATTTTCTTAAGCACCACCTTGAGTGCTGAATAATTATATAGCAAGTCTGAAGATCTCGTATAACATGCTACATGAGCGTTTAATGCGAATCACATAGTCTTATCTCCTGTATTAGGTCCCATGACATCTTGCTTGAGTATCTCAGTATTTAATTTATTGTTCCAACCACATAATTCCCTAGTATATTTAAACATGCTCAGGTCTCTCCCAACTTACACACCCACTTGCATGATACCACACTACCCTAGAGCTAACCCTATTGCTCTATTTCCATTCATTAATTCATCCACTTATTCATCAAATATTTAATGTGCATCAACTGTCTGTCAGCAATGTCAAAGTTCTGTTGATATAGTGTACAAGACAAAGCACATCTTTACTCTGCCATTTCGATCTTATATTTTCATGGTGGAAGATGAAAATAAAGTAGATAAATAAAAAATACCCAAACATACACAGAAATAATATAATTGCAGAAAGTGATCATTGCTATTACAAAAATAAAACACGGTAATGGGAAGAATTAGAATGGCTCCTCAAGGTTCTCTCCATCCCTACTGCCGCCATCCTAGAACAAGATGGCATCACTGTGCTTCTTAACCAGATGGCCAGTGACATCTGAGTAGTTCCTTCACATTGCCTGACTCTCCTGATTATTTTCCAACACTGTAGAAACTTTTAAAAAAGGAATCCTCAGCCAGGCACGGTGACTCACACCTGTAATCCCAGCATTTTGGGTGGGGGAGTGGGGCAGATCACTTGAGGTCAGGAGTTTGAGACCAGCCTGGCCAACATGGTGAAACCCCATCTCTACTAAAAATACAAAAATTAGCTGGACATGGTAGCTGGCGCCTGTAATCCCAGCTACTCGGGAGGCTGAAGCACAAAAATCGCTTGAACCCGGGAGGTGGAGGTTGCAGTGAGCCGAGATCATGCCACTGCACTCCAGCCTGGGTGATAGAGCAAGACTCAGTCTCAAAAAAAAAAAAAAAAAAATCTCACACATACTAGAAGTAGAAATTTTTAGCCAGAGGTGACAATGAAACTTTGGCTTACCTGAGAGATTTCACTTTTCAAGAGAGTATTAGACTTGCACAGGGCATGTTATTGGCTATATAATTCACTTTTATCCAGCTTTCAAGGGAAAAGAAGGAAACCCCACCTAACATAATCATAATATAAACATTATTATATATGCTTTTATTACTATTATAATTATATATTACATTATTTAAATCATAAACATTATGTCAATTTTTGCTTTTCATATGGACAGTAGTAATAATGGATAAATCAAATGCATATTGCATCATTAGAAGAGTGCTGGCCTTGTATGAACAAAGTTTTAGTTATAAGTCATCATACTGTTTCTGAGTCATAAAAGAACGACAACTGTCTTCCTGGTTCTATCGCATTGCTTATCCCAGGTTCCATAACATTAGTAAAAGTCTTATTATCCAATCACTGAGCTTCACATGCCCTGCAGGTATGGGCGCTACATCTTATACAATAATTCAATTTTGTTGTTGGATAATTCAGGACCTCTCCCTTGTCAAAGCTAATTTCTAAAGCTAAAGATTCACACACTGTGGGATATACTGTGGACATTCCAAACACATTACGGTTAAAGCATATGTCTTGGTGTCAGACACTGATAAAGCTTTCTTGGATTCAATATAAAACTTATGGGAAAAAAAACTAGTGTGTCAATATAAATTATAATTTATATCAAGATTGAGAAATGGACTCCTTCAAGGTTCCACTATTAGTGATGTATATATAAAGGATTAAAATACTCCCTCATGTGAGTAATGGTGCTACAGACACGTTCCCATTGGCATCTGTTCACAGTCAATCAGTAAATTAAGAGCTCTGAAACCAAATTTTACTTATTATGACTAAATCCTTTACTTTTCCTAATAAAAATATATTGTTTTCTTTTAAAAAGAATCTTAATGAAAGTATTGTAGGTTTATTGGTTGATTTCCATCATTATCAATTGAATTTCATTATTTATTTATTTATTTATTATTCTTTTTGGAGACAGTCTTGCTCTGTCACTCAGACTGGAGTGCAGTGGTGTGATCTCAGCTCACTGCAACCTCTGCCTCCCGGGTTCAAGCGATTTTCCCACCTCAGCCTCTCGACTAGCTGGGATTACAGGTGGGTGCCACCACGCCCAGCTAATTTTTGTATTTTTAGTACAGATACAGTTTCACCATGTTGGCCAGGCTGGTCTCGAACTCCTGACCTCTAGAGTCAGGCCTCCTAAAATGCTGGGATTACAGGCATGAGCCACCATGCCTGGCTCATTATAATTTTTAAAGCATTAGTTTCATTCATTAAATATAAGTTGGCTTGGGTCAAATGGAGGCTGAAATGGCCATTGTTCAGGGTTTGGCTTTGTTGGCTCTAGACAGACATAATGAAAGTCCCTGGAGAAGTAAAAGCTTTTTGTGAGTTCTGTGGTACTTCCATCAGCAGCATATTGTTACCACTGAAGTGAGATCAAGTAATATCAGTTCTAAAGTGTATGCTGGGAACTTTTATCAGAGACATTTCTGTGCAATTGTAGAAGTGAAAATAGAGCAGGATGGACTGAAAGACAAATGGGAAGTAAATAAGGAGAGGAGAAGCTAAAATATTGAAATCAGTAAAGTAGGGTGAAGGGGGTTTATTTGATGGGAGATGTGTGAGTCTTAAGTTTAAACACTAATGGGAAATGGCCAATAGAAAGAGAAAAGCTGATGGAATCAAAGAATTTATAGGCGGTTGGAGCATCAATCATTTTCATTGTACATCTGAGTACTGTACATTCAGAGAACAAGGAAACATTTTATTTTCCAACTGGATTAAAAAGGAAGGTGATTAAGAATGGCTGGTATGCAGGCATGAATTCAGGAGCAGGGTGTGTCTCAATCTGGAGGTAATTGTCTTGGAGGAGCTTTGAAAGTGAAATGCCTTTGTAGAATATGCAATTGTAAAATAAGACTTACCTTTGCAAACCAACTACATTATTTCCAGATCCATGCCTTAAAATGTTGGGGGGTGGGGGTCAAAGCAAAGCTCTCTGAAGATGTCTCTGGATGTTCCCATCAGGAGTGAACTCTGTAAATGAAACAATTTCAGAAAATAGAGGTCATTCAGTCTTTGGCCATTGCTGTACAATTGTGAATGAGTAACATTACTTCATTATTAAGTCAATAATGCTATCATGAGGACAGAAATGGAATTTCAAAACAGATCAGTCTATGAGTTTGCTTTGTTTCATTTCTTCCTTTATTAAATTTTTCTTCTTACAAACATGATTATATTTTCTTAAAGTTCATCTGCTGCTGCAGTTTCTATTTGAAGAGCATAATCAGTTTCCCAGCAACCAAAAATAGAAATGGTGCTGTCTCAAGAATGAGGACTTAAAGGCTAATAATAGATTCCAGTGATTGTGACTTAGAAGCTCTGATTAAAGCATAATTTTCTCTGCCTCATAAGAACAGGAGCCCAACATAACTGTATTAGAATATGTTCAGCAACTTTATTTTTGCAAAGGGTTTGCCAACACTTGGATTTCTCAAAGTAGCTTTACAAGGTGACACTTCATTCATTACTACCCATAGTTAACTATTTTAAAATTCAGACTTAGTGGAATTTGCCCAAGAACATACAATATAGCATGCTTAGAATTGAAACTTGCCTGCCATTCTTTCCTTTGTTTTAAGGCAGTGTTTTTCAAACCTAATGATCATTAAAATTGCCTGAGAATGTTGTTAAATGCAGATTCTAGCAAGATCCCAGGTGATGACAATACTTCAAATAGCAAGTTTCTAAGACATTTTGGGTTGCAGTTACAACTATACTTGCAAACAGAACCGCCTCCTGGGTTCAAGCGATTCCCCTGCCTCAGCCTGCCAAGTACCTGGGATTACAGGCACCTGCCACCACGCCTGGCTAATTTTTGTATTTTTAGTACCATGTTGGCCAAGCTGGTCTCAAACTCCTGATCTCAGGTGATCTGCCTGCCTTGGCCTCCCAAAGTGCTGGGATTACAGGCGTGAGCCACCGCACCCGGCCTTGCTAATTTATTTTTAGTCTATCATATTTATCAAATAAATAACAAACGAAAATATTATGGTAGGAGTTATTTAAAAATTATTGGCCCGGGGCCAGGCGAGGTGGCTCACACCTGTAATCCCAGCATTTTGGGAGGCCAAGGCAGGCAGGTCACCTGAGGTCAAGAGTTTGAGACCAGCCTGGCCAACATGGTGAAACCCCATCTCTGCTAAAAAAAAAAAAAAAAAAAGAAAAAAAAATTAATTGGGCTTGGTGGCACACGCCTGTAGTCTCAGCTACCTGGGGAGGCTGAGGCAACAGAATCACTTGAACCCAGGAGGCGGAGGTTGCAGTGAGCCAAGATCATGCCCCTGCACTCCCGCCTGGGATCCATCTCAAAAAAAAAAAAAAAAAAGGCAGATAAAGAAAAAAAATAGTAATATAAAGAGAAAATAAAAATAAATTATCCTGGCAATAGAGTCTTGCATATTTTTCAGCTTTCCTTGAAGCTGAGATGTGCTCCTGACCTCAAAGGACCAGTCCCTTGGGCCAGAGTATTGAGAACCATTTACCTGGGCCTGGAGCTGTGGAGAGATTTCCTGACTGTACATGTTCCCATCAGGCTAGGCCAGCCACCGAACATGGCCTTCAGGGCAGGACAGCAGAACTAGGGCCCTGCCTGGGGTACCTGGTGCTGGTCCAAGTTTTAGAGCCAGAGCATCTGCCGAAGTTTGGGGCCATCCTGGCGCAAGAGGGGTGCAGGGTGGTGGAGTCCTGGTCCTCGGGCTGATGGGCTCCAAAGCCTCTACAGGAAAGAGAGGGGGAGAGAGGAGAAGGAGTCTACAGGAAGGCTGCTGGGAGAGGCTGACCTGCAGGGGTGTGGTGGAGCCTAAGAGCAGGTGACCTGGGAAGACCTGGGGCGGGAGTATGCCGAGGGGCAGGAGTGGGGGTGAGGGTGGGCAGTGATTCACAGATCTCTCTGCTGTCACCAGGGGAGGGCAAGCTATTGATCTGGAGTCAAGCTGGGAAGAAATCACCTGTCCTGCACCTCTAGACCAACAAAAGGTAAACTGAGTCCCAGAGCAGGGAAGGGTTGCTAACACTCAAGGGTCAAGCAGCAAAGTGGTGTGACCTGAAAGGGAAGTCATGAGAGACAAAAGGCTGAGGGCGGCACAAGGAAAAAGCTGGGAAAATAAGGCTGTGCAGCGAGAATGGACCAACACTGGCGCCTCACGCACATACACCCCACTTCCCAGCGGGTGCCCTGGGGCATCTCAGAAGCCAGCACAGCCTAGGCCTGCTGCAGAGTGAAAGAGTGAGCCCTGCTCATGCTGAAGCAACAGGAGCTCATCCAAGGTGGGGGGAAGGGCCAGTGTTGAGGCAGCCGGGGCATGTGCCTCAGGAGTGGAGCCTCTGGTGCCTGGTGTATCACTAGGAGTGAGTGGCAACGATGTGGAAGTGGCCAGACACCCCATGACCCAGGAGTCAAGGAACCATGCTCTTTGCTGTCCAGTCCCCCAAAACTAACAACTGCACTTCCACGTGAAGGAAGCAGAATGACCCCTTCTCCCCACTCCCTTTATCCTGAACATCAGCAGGTGGGCCCAGGACTACCAGGCAAATTCTGAGATCCAGGACCTATTGAGGAGTAGTGATGGCAGCAACTGGCCAAACCCACACTTTCCAGGCAGCCACAGGAGCTGGGCATGGCCGAGGCCTACAGACATGCAGGCAGTGCCCCAAGGGTGAGGACAAGGTAGATCATGCCTAATTCCTGCCATGAGTCTGACTGCATGCTAGAGTTTTGCTTGCTTGCCTTCAGTAATGCCTCTCCATGTTTATGGAATTTCCAGTTCTCAATAAAGTGTAGATACAGTATATAAGGCAATGTTACTTTGTGTGTAACACTGAATGTGTATTTTGATTTTATCTGCAGATCAGTGGCTTTGATTCAGGCAGCTTCAAAGGAATTGTGATCAAGTTATGATAATTTAGTCAACAAGCAGGTCAATGAGGGAGGTAAACTGAGGCAGGGCCCTCCATGTGATCACCCAGACAAATGCTTCATGCCCAATGCCAAGGCAAAATATTAGGTGATTATCCCAAAAGATTACATTAAAGCGTATTCCATAATTAAATATACATTTCAAATTTAGAAGTTAGTTTTAAAAGCTCATCAGTTAAGGTCTGGAACATAAAAAAACATTTCATAAAATTAAGGTTTCGGCCGGGGGTGGTGACTCATGCCTGTAATCCCAGCACTTTGGGAGGCCGAGGTGGGTGGGTCACGAGGTCAGGAGATCGAGACCATCTTGGCTAACACAGTGAAACTCCGTCTCTACTAAAAATACAAAAAATTAGCTGGGTGTGGTGGTGGGCGCCTGTAGTCCCAGCTACTTGGGAGGCTGAGGCAGGAGAATGGCGTGAACCTGGGAGGCGGAGCTTGCAGTGAGCCCAGATCGCGCCACTGCACTCCAGCCTGGGTGACACAGTGAGACTTCATCTCAAAGGAAAAAAAAAAAAAAAGGAAATGATTCCTGAAAGTATATAGTCTTTTGCTGGGCGCAGTGGCTCATGCCTATAATCCCAGCACTTTGAGAGGCCAAGGTGGGCGGATCACGAGGTCAGATCGAGACCATCCTGGCTAACATGGTGAAACCCCGTCTCTACTAAAAATAAAAAAAAATTAGCCGGGCATAGTGGTGGGTGCCTGTAGTCCCAGCTACTCAGGAGGCTGAGGCAGGAGAATGGTGTGAACCTGGGAGGTGGACCTTGCAGTGAGCCGAGATTGCGCCACTGCACTCCAGACTGGGTGACACAGTGAGACTCCGTCTCAAAAAAAAAAAAGAAATGATTCCTGAAAGCATAGTCTTTTGTTGGGCGCGGTGGCTCACGCCTATAATCCCAGCACTTTGGGAGACCGAGGCGGGTGGATCACCTGAGGTCAGGAGTTCAAGACCAGCCTCGCCAATATGGTGAAACCCTGTCTCTACTGAAAATACAAAAATTAGCCGGTCGTGGTGGCGGGTACCTGTAATCTCAGCTACTCAGGAGGCTATGGCAGGACAGTCACTTCAACCCAGGAGGCAGAGGTTGTAGTGAGCCGAGATTGAGCCAGGGCACTCCAGCCTGGGTGACAGAATGAGACTCTGTCTCAAAAACAAAAAACCAAAAACAAAAAACTCCTGACCTCAGGGGTGCCTGTAATCCCAGCTACTCTGGAGGCTGAGGTAGGAGAATCACTTGAACTCGGGAGGCAGAGGCTGCAGTGAGCCAAGATCTCACCACTGCACTCCAGCCTGGGCAACAAGAGTGAAACTCAGTCTCAAAACAAAAAGAAAATATAGTCTTTGTAAAAATATTTTATTCATTCATCACGTGCATTTCCAGCATGAGATCTTCCTCCTTACAGGAGCCATGTTTTGAGTCACTCAACACAGTTGTTCAAAATGCAGCATCTTCTCTTCCAGCTAAATTCCTGTTGCATTTGTATTAAATTTGCGTATGAATCTGTTATGATGCTATTAGATCTTTTATCTCAAATCACAAGGTTTTGTTTGAAATTTGAGATTTTTACCTTCATAAACACCTTTTGCCTTTTAAATGATTTCTAAAATTCTCATTTGCAATTATACACAACATCGTAATTATGAGTTCTGATTTTCAGGGGTGATTATAAAAACTAACAAATTAAATTGTAGGTTATTCTGAGTAGCCAATACTAGCATTGATTGAGTTTGCATCAGCCTAAAGTGTGTTTCCCAGATTGTAACTTTGTTGTAAAAAATTAAATGTTCCCACATATTCCTCTTCATTGCTGGAGACAATTCTCTATGAATATTACACATTTCTGCATGTCCAGGCCCTAGAGAAAGACATTTATATCCAATGCAAGATGTTGCTTTGGCTGCAATTTTCACTGTGAAGAAAAATTACCTTTTTTTCTCAGACTCAGGCTGTATATATATGAGTTCATGGGGCCAAGCCTGGTTCTGGGGTGGGCCTGGAGCCTTGGGCCCTGGAGGCCAGCCTGGACCTTGGCCTGCAGGGGCTGGCCTAGAGCTGGGGTGGTGGTCCCAGAGCTTGGGTTTTATTTCTATGTTACACTCAACATGCTGTGATCTCTCATGTGGATTCCTCAGCTCTTGTGAAAGGATTTTTGTGTGTGAAGATTTGTTCAAATTGATGTTTCTGTGAGGGGCCGAGATCCAGAAAGTCTCATTTTATCACTTGCTGACGTCACACCCCACGGCTACTGTGGCTTTTATGTTTTGTTAGTATTCCACCATATTGTGGCAAGCCTGCAATTCAATTAATATTAAAAATCAATCTGAATGAGATAATCTCTTAACAGATATCCCACTCTGAAATATCAGGGTGGCTTCTGTTTTGCTTATGTCTTGACTTTGCTTTAAGACAGGTCATAGCCTGTGCATCTCACTAAGCTTCACAGTGACAAGGACATGTTCTGAGCTGGCCAGTGTGTGGCACACACCCAGCCACGCCTGCAGATGTCTGCTGAAAGGCAGCTTTATGACCACCCTTTTGCTTTGTGCCTGTAGAGCTACGAAAACCGTAGCTCACTGAGACTCAGTTACCGAAACTATCAAATGACAAACAAGTCAAGGGTTTGAGATTTTTCCCTCAAGGACATATCTTCTGTGAGGCTTTCAGCTTTCTTAAAAAAATATTTTATTTGAAGATAAAACTCTGCTGGACACACTGGCTCACGCCCATAATCCCAGCAATTTGGGAGTCCGACACAGGCAGATCACTTGAGGTCAGGAGTTCAAGACCAGCCTTGCCAACTTGGTGAAACTCCCTTTCTACTAAAAATACAAAAACTTAGCCAGGCATGGTGGTGCACACTTGTAATCCCAGCTACTCTGGAGGCTGAGTCAGGGGAATCCTTTAAGCCCGGGAGGTGGAGGTTGCAGTGAGCCGAGATTGTGCCACTGCACTCCAGCCTGGGCGACAGGGTGAGACTCAGTCTCAAAAAAAAAAATACAAAATAAAAAAATAAAGAGATAAAACTGACTTGTTATATGCCTGTTAAAATGGGTCTCCTCCTTATTTTTGGTGTGTGCGTGTGTGGTTTTTTTTTTTTTTGGCTTCCTCTGTTCATTTTCACTCATCTCCCCTTTCCCTCTTCAGAGGACCAGATTTGCCCATCTTCTTTCAAGCAGATGACTGAGTCAATCCCACATTACATATGAGGAAACTGAGGTAAGAGTGGAAATACCCTGAAAAAACAATTTTCTTCCTCTGTTAAAAGGAGATAACTATTTTTTTCCATAGAACTGTTGTAAAGATCAGAGCTAATGTATTCAAAGTTCCTAGTGAACTACCTAGTTTATACGTATTGAAACAGAGAGAGCTGATGCTGATATTTTGATATTCCAGATTACTTGGTGATATGCCTTATCATATCATAGAAGATAATAAATGTTAATTTATACAAGCATTATATATATATTTGCGTATATATACACCCATATTATCTTAAGAAAAGTTAGAACCTTTTTCTCTCTCTGTACGTTTCTTGCAACTTTATGATATTAAACAAATGGAAGTGTTAGAGGTAACTTCCAATAGGAACAAGGAGAGACTAGGAAAGGGAGGAGAAGTGGCTACATTTTAAATGACAGGTAACATTGTGTCCGGAATTTATTCCTTGTGGTGGGTTCTTCGTCTTGCTGACTTCAAGAATGAAGCAGCCAACCTCGCGGTGAGTGTTACAGCTCTTAAAGATGGTGTGTGTGTCCGGAGTTTCCTCCTTCCCATGGGCTCGTGATCTCACGGACTTCAGGAGTGAAGCCACAGACTTTCGTGGCGAGTGCTACAGCTCTTAAAGGTGGGGCGGACCCGAAGAGTGAGCAGCAGCAAGATTTACTGTGGGGAGCAAAAGAACAAAGATTCCACAGCCTGGATGGAGACCCAAGCGAGTTGCTGACGCTAGCTTGGGTGGCCAGCTTTTAGTCCCTTATTTGGCCCTGCCCACATCCTGCTGATTGGTCCATTTTACAGAGTGCTGATTGGTGCATTTGCAATCCTTTAGCTAGACATAAAAGTTCTCCAAGTCCCCACCTGCCCCAGAAGCCCAGCTGGCTTCACCTCTCAACATGGTCAGTCTTTTTTTTCTTTTTTTCTTTTTTTTTTTTGAGACAAAATTTCGCTCTTGTTGCTGAAGCTGCAGCACAATGGCATGATCTCAGGGGCTCACTGCAACCTCCACCTCCTGGGTTCAAGTGATTCTCCTGCCTCAGTCTCCCTTGTAGCTGGGATTACAGGAGCCTGCCACCACCCTGGCTAATTTTTGTATTTTTTTAGCAGAGATGGGGTTTCATCATGTTGGCCAGGCTGGTCTTGACTTCCTGACCTCAGGTGATCCACCAGCTTCGGCCTCCCAAAGTGCTAGGATTACAGGTGTGAGCCACTCTGCCCAGCCTGGAATTTATATTTCTGACAACTTGCTAGGTGGTGCTCATGCTGCTGGTCTGGGATGTTTTTGCTCCTAAGCTGGGTCTGCCTGCCCAGCGCAGTCAGGCCAAACACCCACACCAAGGTTTGCAGCAGGAGAAAAGAGGTGTTTATTTGCAGGGTGCCAAGCAAGGAGAATATAGCAGCTCCTGCTTTACACCTGACCTCCTGATGGCTTGCGAGTAAGAGTTTGTTTTGTTTTGTTTTGTTTGAGATGGAGTCTGGCTCTGCCACCCAGGCTGGAGTGCAGTGGCGCGATCTCCGCTCACTGTAAGCTCCGCCTCCCGGGTTCACGCCATTCTCCTGCCTCAGCCTCCCGAGTAGCTGGGACTACAGGCGCCCGCCACCACGCCCAGCTAATTTTTTGTATTTTTAGTAGAGACGAGGTTTCACCGTGTTAGGCAGGATGGTCTCGATCTTCTGACCTCGTGATCCGCCCACCTCGGCCTCCCAAAGTGCTGGGATTACAGGCGTCAGCCACTGCGCCCGGCCACAAGTAAGGGTTTTAAAGGCAGGGGTAAATTTCAGGAAAACAGAAGTTACAACAACATTGTGAACTGATACATTGGTTTGGCCTAAAAAGGTGGGATAGTTTGAGGTAGGAGATTACCGGTCATAGGTATATTCAAAGACTGTTTTGCAATTGATGAAAAAAGAGTTTGTTTAAACATTTGGGATCAGCAGAAAAGATTATTAGCTCTGGCACGTGGGCACGGCTTCCTCCAGGTCCCTCAAGAATAAATTTAGAGCCAAGGACAAACGGAGTTCGGGGTTCAGTCCTCAGCTCCCCCTTATCTGTGTTCTACTCGCCAGCGGATCTGCTCGGTAGGGAGTCTGGGTTTCTGAAAAACAACTCAGAGACATATGTTAAAATGTTGCCTTTAGTTTCAAATATCTTATGGCTAGAACTTCCTTGGCTGTTGTTTTAAGCTGTGATTACTTTCTTTCTTATCAAGTTGCTTGCTTCTCAGGGCTAGCTAGGTGCCTGGAATTTCCCTTGAAGGAACTCAATATTTTCCTTTATTTCCATGGATGGGGGTGCAGGGTGGTGGAATGGAGGGGGTGCAGGCCCCAAGAGGGTTCCCTGCTCCATTTTAGGGACCGCACTTGTGAAACAATATCCTCTGAGTAGGAGATTCAATTTTTTCCCGTGACAATCTTAAGGTCTATTTCAACAAAGGGCCAGATAGTAAATTTACTTTTGTTCTATAGGCTGTAATGTCTCTGTACAGCTGTTCAACTCAATCACAGGAAAGCAATCATAGATAAAATGTAAAAAAATGGGTATGGCCAAGGGCCGGGAGCAGTGGCTCACGCCTGTAATCCCAGCACTTTGGGAGGCCGAGGTGGGTGGATCACGAGGTCAGGAGATCGAGACCACCCTGGCTAACACGGTGAAACACTGTCTCTGCTAAAAATACAAAAGAATTAGCCAGGCGTGGTGGCGGGCGCCTGTAGTCCCAGCTACTCTGGAGGCTGAGGCAGGAGAATGGTGTGAACGTGGGAGGCGGAGCTTGCAGTGAGCCCGAGCTTGCAGTGAGCCCAGATAGCGCCACTGCACTCCAGCCTGGGCAACAGCAAGACTCCATCTCAAAAAAAAAAAAAAGAAAAAAAAATGGTTATGGCCAAGTTTAATTCTTTGGGCCATAGTTTACCAAACTCCTGATTTAGATGATTAGCAATAGTCCTACAAACTCTGAACTCTGTATATCAAGGCAGTATATAATTAAATAACTGATTTTAATTACTATAGGACTTCAATGAAAGGAGAGAATGCTATCAGTTGAAATAGTTTTCTGAAGAGAAAATGGGGCCAGAGACTTCAGGAATCAGCAATATATTTACTGTCTGTTAAATTAATCGCCTTTTATTACGTGCTAATCAAGTTCTGCTTTATTTCATATGACAAGAGTGGTTTTGAATTAAGTAACTCTCAGACAATTGTTTCAGCAAATGATTTAGTTCTCATTTCCATGCTTACGTATAAGTTCTTTCACTCAAAAAAAAAAAAGAGGAAATCTTTAATTTAGGAATAAAATACAGAGGATTGCTTCAAGTTTGATTTGTTTTCAAAGCCTAAATTTATAACTTTTATGTTGCCCTTGCCAATGATTATTTGCAGTTACAGTCTGTAGTTTCACATCATTAATAACTAGAAAGAAAAATGGGCTTTTTATTTGGCTTCAAAGTGGGTGACGAGTTTTGGAGCTTCATCTGCTTGCCGTGTTGCTATTGATGCCAATATATTTGCGACTTCCCACTTGCAATATCATTATCAACAGGTAGAGAAAGACATAATGGTTTCAATCTCCTTGCTGACAAGCACTTCTCTACACTTGTTAAATCACAGATTTAGCTAAGAAAAATGAAAGGAATATTCCCCGTTGGCTGTGAATTTATAAAAATTGCTTTCTTTGACAGACAGTCCTCTGTTTCCTGTCTCAGGGAAAATACACAAAGTATAATGAACACTATGGAGGCATTTCCTAAACTTACATCTCATTATTCAATGCAGGGAGCACAGACTCTGAAGAGGGAAACCACAGGGGAAATTACACATACCATTTGTCAACTTACATTCCTTTAAGCAAAATGCACCAAATTAAGAATTCGGGACGGGCCGGGCGCGGTGGCTCACGCCTGTAATCCCAGCACTTTGGGAGGCTGAGACGGGCGGATCACGAGGTCAGGAGATCGAGACCATCCTGGCTAACACGGTGAAACTCTGTCTCTGCTAAAAATACAGAAGAATTAGCCAGGCATGGTGGCGCGTGCCTGTAGTCCCAGCTACACGGGAGGCTGAGGCAGGAGAATGGCGTGAACCCGGGAGGCGGAGCTTGCAGTGAGTCGAGATCGCGCCACTGCACTCCAGCCTGGGCGACAGAGCGAAACTCCGTCTCAAAAAAAAAAAAAAAAGAATTCGGGACGATAGTTTTGCATTGCTGAGTACATTTGAAAATCACTTGAGGCCAGGTGCGGTGTCTCACGCCTGTAATCCCAGCACTTTGGAAGGCTGAGGCGGGTGGATAAACTGAGGTCAGGAGTTCGAGACCAGGCTGGCCAACATGGAGAAGTGATGGCGTGGTGGCCCGGCTTGGTGGCAGGCACCTGTAATCCCAGCTACTTGGGAGGCTGAGGCAGGAGAATCGCTTGAACCCAGGAGGAGGGGGTTGCAGTGAGCCAAGATCGCGCCATTGCACTCCAGCCTGGGAGATGGCCCAAGACTGTGTCTCAAAAAAAAAAAAAAAAGAAAAGAAAATCATCTGGATGCTGGTCAAAGCTTAAATGCTAAAAAGTTCTACCTCATGAGTTTGTTTTGCTGGTATGTGTGGAATCCACCTCTATCTTTCTCAGGCTCTCTCTCTTACTCTCTTACTCCCTCCCTCTTTCCTTCCTTCCTCCCTTTCTTCCACCCTCCCTCTGTCTCTTCCACCCTCCCTCCCTCTCTTCCTTCCTTCCTTCTTTCCTGTACATTCTCACCAGCTACAAACTTTGGACCCTCTTGACAAACGTTTTTGTGTCTTCCATGAGGATGATTACTACTAGCTTGTTGCTGATGGTAAGCCACATTTCCTGTCTCCATATTGAAGAAATGAAATGGCAGCTTGAAGGCAGCAGGACAGAGATTCGCTGCCAAACAACCAAATCAGCTGTAACTGCCTGTTGGTATGGAGGACAGAAGGGCTCCAGGCTGTATCATCATTGAGATGCAGGAATTCAAGTGAGTCTTCCGTATTTGAACTGGCCTGGAGTTGGTGCTTGGGAGTTGATGGCTACTTCTACATATAACTACACAAAGAACTGGCTTAATATTAATGCTCAAGTAAACGAGTCACTAAACAAACAAGAAAAACAAGACCAAACTATGAAATCTGTTGTTAAAAGTATATTAAAATTCAGATTGAAAATGATTGAAATCAATTATTAAATATGTTTCAAAAAAAGAAAGCATGCTACATCCATTTGGTTTGTTTTCATAGGTAATATCAAACTGCTAAATATCACCTTAATTCAGTCATTGATAAATGTGTGCAATGAGGTGTAGCCCACAAAGCCTTTAATCAGTGTGACCATTCCAATATCTCATGGCCTTTAATTTTGCTTCTGTTCGGTTATCAACATTGGATGTTATAACATCAGGTGGCATGATGTGTGACATTTGTCTGTCATTCATTCATTCCATTATTTATTGAATGCCTATTACAGCACAGAATTTGACATGGGAGTGGGAGAGTAATCGTGAACAATACTAGTAAAATGCCTGCCCTCATGAGGATTATGTTCCTGTTGTCATGAAGTTGTCATCTCCTTCTAGATGATAAACAAGAAACAAATAACCAAAATGCACTCAAAGAATAATAATAAGGGCTTGAGGAAGTTAAAGCACTTTAAGAAAGTTAAAAAAAAAAAAACTAGTCATGGGGCAGTGGCTAATTGAGTGGTCAGGGAGGCCTCTTCACAGAGTTCACATTTTGCTGAAAACTAAAGAAGATCCAGCCTTGAGAAGATGTGGAAAAGGGAACAGCAAATGCAAAAGCCTGATAGAGGAAGAGCTTTGGATGGTGATATTTCAACAAGAACATCCTCAAGGCTGGAGCAGGGTGAACAGGAGGGAAACCAGTAGCATGTGGAATAGGATCAAATGAGCATTCAACTCTATTTTTCCAGGGATTGGAGAATCAGATAAGGCCCCCCATGTATGCTGTAAATAACCAAGACTGACCTTCTACATTAAAAGAGAGAGATGTGTCTTTCCTTTTGAATGTTAAAAACAGTTTAAAAGTCTTTACAAAATTACCAAAGACAAATAATATCACATATATCAAATTTATCCATTTGATTAATAATTTTTAAGATTTTGAAGATTAATAATTTTTAAAATTATTTTTATTTCATGATTTTGCATAAAGGTTGTGAGTGAAATAGATACTGTGATTGGAGAAAAGATAAGGAGACAATGTATATGTGTCTATTTGGCAGGGGGTGGGGACACATCATAATATATATTTGGTATGCATCCTATCTAGTTTCTAATTAAAACCAAAATTGGCTGGGCGCGGTGGCTCACGCCTGTAATCCCAGCACTTTGGGAGGCCGAGGCGGGCAGATCACGAGGTCAGGAGTTCAAGACCAGCCTGGCCAATATGGTGAAACCCTGTCTCTACCAAAAATACAAAAATTAGCCGGGCATGGTGGTGGGCACCTGTAGTCCCAGCTACTCGGGAGGCTGAGGCAAGAGAATCACTTGAACCAGGGAGGCAGAGGTTGCAGTGAGCCAAAATCACGCCACTGCACTTTAGCATAGGAGACAGAGCAAGACTCCGTCTCAAAAAAAAAAAACCAAAATTATAATATGACTCACCACAGCAACCCATTTACATCTTCTGTTACATGGCAACAAGGAACTAAATATTAATCATAAACCCCCAAAGACATTAATCCTAGGATGTAAAGTCACTCCCTAAATCGCTACATCTTTAAGTTTCATGGGTCCACTCCTTGTCTATGGGTGATCTCTGTTGTAGAATTTGTCCCATCCCACTTCCTTGGGCTGCTTCCCTCAGTAAACTCACACATTCACTCTCTCCAATAAAATCAGAATAATGATGAAGTGGTACCACTTTCTTGCTTCATTGGCAAATAACTATGGAAGCTAAGTGTCTTGTTAAGAACTATATTAGCAGATCATAATGAGCCCTAGACTTGCTATCTCTTAAACATTGATGAAAGATAAGATGTAAAACTAGCAGTTGCTGACTTGCATTAATAAAGTGTTAAGAAGGGCGAGAGCCAAGGATTGCCACAGGGAGGAAATTAAGTAACCCGCTTACTGCATTTCCTTGGGCAACTGTAGATAAAATGTTTGGCTTGGGTAAAGAACTGTTAAAACCTTAAAATAAAATTTAATGACCCCATTTTTTAAAAACTTAATTTTTAATCAGGTTTTTAAACACAGTATAATTCCTTCAGTATGGCAGCTGTGCCATAGAGTTCACTCTATGTAATGTTTTTGTATTTAAAAAAATAGTTTGTACTTTAAAAAAATACATAGCTGTATTGACATATAGTTTATATAATGTACATTTTATCCATCTAAAAGTAAAATTCAGCCTCCCAAGTACCTGGGATTACAGGCACCTACCACCATGCCTAGCTAATTTTTAGCTAGCTAATTTTTTAGCTAGCTAATTTTTAGCTAGTATTTTTAGTAGAGACAGGGTTTTGCCATGTTGGCCAGACTTGTCTCGAACTCCTGACCTCAAGTGATCTGCCCATCTCAGCCTCCCAAAGTGCTGGGATTACAGGTGTGAGCCACCATGCCCAGCCTGTTTTGTGGTTTTGATTTATATTGTTCTAATGACAAATAATGTTGATCATCTTCCTATGAGCACACAGGCCAATCTTTGGAAAAATCTTTAGTCACATTTATTGCTCATTTTTAAACTGGGTTATTTGTCTTTTTATTATTGAGTGGTAAGTGTTCTTTATACATTCTGGATATAATATCTTAACAGATATATGATTTGCAAATATTTTCTCTCATTCTGTGTGTCGTCTTTTCAGTTTCTTGGTAGCATCTTTGGAACTACAAAAATTCTGGCCAGGCGCAGTGGCTGAGGCCTGTAATCCTAGCATTTAGGGAGGCCAAGACGGGCAGATCACCTGATGTCAGGGGTTCAAGACAAGCCTGGCCAACATGGCGAAACCCCGTCTCTACTAAAAATACAAAAATTAACCTGGTGTGGTGGTGCATACCTGTAATCCCAGCTACTGGGGAGGCTGAGGCACGAGAATTGCTTGAACCCAGGAGGCAGAGATTGCAGAGAGCCAAGATCACACCACTGCACTCTAGCCCGGGTAACAGAGTAAGACTCCACCTCAAAAAAAATTTTTTTTTCTTTAAAAAAAAATTCAATTGACAAATAATGACTGTGTGTATTTATGGGATACAATGTGATATATTCATATATGTATCAATTATAGGAAGTCCAACTTATCTATTTTCTTCTTTTGTTGCTTGTGCTTTTGGTGTCATATCTAAGAAAGCTAAAGTCAAGAAGATTTTTTTCCCCTATGCTCTCTTCTAAGAGTTTTATAATTTTATCTATTAAATTTTAGTATATATTTTTGAGGTAACTTTTTGTATAAAATATGAAGAAAGGGTCCAGTTTCAGTCGTTAGCATGTGACATCCAGTTTTCCCAACACCATTTGTTGAAAAGACTATTATTTCCATTGAACAGCCTTGGCATTCTGGTTGAAAATCAACTATTAATGTAAACATTGATTTCTAGACCCTTAGCTGTATCCCATTGGTCTATATGTGTATCCTTATGCCAGTACAAGTCTGTAATTATTACTATAGCTTTGTAGTAAATTTTGAAATAGAGAAGTGTGCATACTCCAAATTTGCTCTTCACTTTTGAGATTACTTTGACTATCAGGAGTCCCTTGCATTTCCACATGAATTTTTGGATGGGCTTGTCAATTTCCACAGAAAAGGCTGTTGGGATTTCTATAGAGACATGGTGACTGTATATCAATTTGGAAAGCCATCTTAATAATGTCTCCCAATCTCTGAACATTGGTGTCTTGTCATTTATTTACTCCTTTTTTTTTTTACCTTCTTTCAAGTATGTTTTGTAGTTTTAGGGTATAACTTTTGCTCTTTTTGAATAATTAATTTCTAAGCATTTTCTTTTTTGATGCAATTATCAATGGAATTGTCTTAATTTGAAGTGTTCATTGCTAGAGTAGAGAAATACAATTTTTTTTTTTTAATTTAAAGGAGTTTAATTGAGCAACAAACACTTCAAGAATCGGGCAGCCTTCCCAGGCAGAGTAGGCTCGGACACTCCAGCACAGTCACGTGGTGGAAGGTTTATGGACAGAAAATGGAAGTGAGGTACAGAAACAGCTGGGTTTGGCTGCAGCTTGGCATTTGCCTTATCTGAACATGGTTTGAACAGTTGGCTACATTTGATTGGCCAAAACTCAGTGATTGGCACAAGTGTAGTCTGTTTACACCTCCACTTGTCACAATATACAGACAAACTTTTAGGCCAAACTTAAATATATAAGGAGGCAGCTTTAGGCTAAACTTGATTTCAACACCTGTATTCCAACACTTTGGGAGGCCGAGGCGGGAGGATCACTTGAGCCTAGAAGTTAGAGGTCAGCCCAAGCAACATAGTGAGACCTTGTCTCTGCGAAAATAAATTAGCCAGGCATGGTAGCATGTACCTGTAGTCCCAGCTTATTAGGAGACTGAGGCCAGAGGATCATTTGAGCCCAGGAGTTCAAGGTTGTAGTGAGCTACAAGCGCGCCACTGCACTCCTGGGCAACAGAGAAAAAGCCTACCTCAAAAAGAAAAAAATAATGACATAAGCAATTATGTGGAAATAAGGTCATACCTGTCAAAGTAATCAGCTGAAAGCAGTTGCCTCTGAGGTGCAGGAAAGGGGGAAAGTGGAGATAAGGGAACTACTTTTCTTTAAAAAAAAAAAGATAAAACTAACACTTCAAGCCAGGCAAAGTGGCTCACACCTGTAATCCCAGCACTTTGGGAGGCCAAAGCGGGTGGATCACCTGAGGTCAGGGGTTCGAGACCAGCCTGACTAACATGGTGAAACCCTGTCTCTACTAAAAATACAAAAATTAGCTGGGCACGATGGCGGGCGCCTGTAATCACAGCTACTCGGGTGGCTGAGGCAGGAGAATTGCTTGAACCTGGGAGACAGAGGATGCAGTGAGCCGAGATTGCACCATTGCATTCCAGCCTGGGTGACAGAGCGAGACTCTGTCTCAAAAAAAAAAAAAAAAAAAACAAAAACAAAAACTAACACTTCATTACCTCTGAATGGACATTAAAAAATATTTTAATAAATAAAAAAAGATTTAATACTTCAAACTATGGGCACACAAAACCTTGATAAAAATAAAAACAAATTTAGAAATCTATTATTATTATTATTATTATTTTTTTTTTTTTTTTGAGACGGAGTCTCGCTCTGTCGCCCAGGTCGGACTGCGGACTTCAGTGGCGCAATCTCGGCTCACTGCAAGCTCCGCCTCCCGGGTTCACGCCATTCTCCTGCCTCAGCCTCCCGAGTAGCTGGGACTACAGGCGCCCGCCACCGCGCCTGGCTAATTTTTTGTATTTTTAGTAGAGACGGGGTTTCACCTTGTTAGCCAGGATGGTCTCGATCTCCTGACCTCATGATCCACCCGCCTCGGCCTCCCAAAGTGCTGGGATTACAGGCGTGAGCCACCGCGCCCGGCTAGAAATCTATTATTAATAGGACAGCATGTTGAGAGACTTTAAAGGAGTTTTTTTTAAGTATTTTTAAAATAATCTCAAATTTATAGAAGTCTTGGAATTAAAGTACAAAGAACTTTTGTTTTGCTAAATGATTTGAAAGTTCCTGACCTGACTCCCTATAACCCCTACATACTGTATGTCTTCTATAAACAAGGACTGAATGCAATAAAATTGTAATATAGCTAGAAAAATCAGGAAATCAACATTAATAGATTTCTACCATCCAACCAACAGACCTATTCAAGTTTTGCCAAGTCAGGATCCAGTTCAGAATCACCACTGCACTTATTTCTCACGTCTCTTTCATCTTCAGTCTGGAACAGTTCTTCAGTCTTTCCTTAACTTTCATGACTTTACACTTCTATTACAGGCCAATTATTTTGTAGAATTTTCCTTAATTTGAATTTGTTGCTTTAGGATTAGATTCCAATTATGTATTATTGGCAGGAGCATCATAGAAGTGATGCTGTGTTCTTCTTGCTAGACTATCAGGAGGCACACGATTGCAATTTGTCCTATTACTGAGGATGTTCATTTTGGTTGCTTGATTAAGGTGGTGCCTGCCAGATTTTTCCACTGTGAAGTGACTTCCTTTTGTAACTAATGAATAATTTGTGAAGAGCTGCTTTGAAATGATGTAAATATCTGTTGACTTGAAAATACAACAAAATTATACTATGAATTGAATAATACATCTAAATTAATTTGCATTTTATCAATGACAACCAGATCCACATACTTTTGTAAAACAGTTGCTGGTGTGTGTGCGCAACAGGTTGTTGACTTAGGCAATGTGTGGAATGTTCTGGATTCCTAGACCCCGGACAGTAGCTCCAAGACAGTTTTGAACTTTCAAGTAAGACAAACTTAGTTTTGATTTCCAGTTGTACACTTAGAAGCTATGGATGGTAGATTCTTTGTTGGGGAAAATGGCAGCAATTCTCACTCCCTGTGTCTACCCCTTTGGTTGTCCCCTTCCATACCGGCTGGCCATGCCCTTGTGACCTGCTTTGGCCAATGGGAGAATAGCAAATATGACATAAGTGAGACATGGGAAGTTCTTGTGTTGCTGCCCTTATGCTGCTTTTGAAACTCAACCCCTATGTTCAAGCTCTCCTGGATAATGAGACTTGTGGTCGCATTCCCATCACCCAGCTGACGATGAGCTCCTCCTGTCCCTAAAATATGAGGCCCCTTAGCCATCCAGCCCCCATCCAGTTATTGAGAAACAAGTATTACCTGTTTGAAATCATAAACGGGTGGTTTATGATGCAGCAAAAACTAACTTACATACAACATGACCTCATGTGGGTTTCTTAATTTCTCTCAGTCTCAGCTTTCTCATCTATAGGATGGAGATAAGGCAATCAACCTCACTATTTAGAGGATTAAATGAGAAAATATATGCAAAGTGCTTGGCATAGCATAAATACTCAACACATATGGTAATTTTTTAAAAACCCTCTATATTAGTCCCTTTTAATTAAAATTTTAATTAAAACAAAAGAAAAACAAAACAAAACAAAAACCTCTGCTGGGTGGACGAGGGGCAGCCCTCAGGCTAGATGCACTGATTTAGTACTTTTAATAGTGGCAGGAGTCAGACAAGCCCGTAGGCAGATAGTGGCATGTCCCCAATGAAATCCAACTTTCAAACCAAAGGCAGTTTAAAGCCCGAAAGCTAAGCTACAAGTCTTGGATAAATCCATGGACCGAGCTGAGAACATCTCTTCCTGTTGGTGCACTTTCCTCTGACTGATCCCCACCCTTCACTTACTTTACATATATCTACCCTTCCCTAGGTGGTTTTCTACACTGTCATGCCACCTTTGAATGGTTCCTTTGTTTTAGCCTTTTTTGTATACTCGTAAACCAATCAGCATGCAGTCCCCACTTCTGAGCCCATAAAAGCCCCGGACCCAGCCACGCTGAGAGAGAGACCACCCAACTTCAGGTCAGGGACCACCCTTGCATCCCCTCTCCTCTGAGAGCTGTTTCATTGCTTCATAAAACTCTTCTCTGCCCTTTTCACCCTTCCATTGTCAGCAAAGGGTATGAAGAAGGCAGTAACACCATAGCCCTCCACCCCTCCCCGACTATCTGTGCCCAGTGGCAGCCCCTTGCCATGAGAGGCAGTGCAGGGCCAGGCCAGCCAGGGAGCCTCCGGCAGGAGCAGGCAACAGGACTGACAGAGTTGTTAACACACCCCCCATTCATTGTTAACATGCCCGTTTGTCAGGCTGCTGACGGTGGGACTAAAAGAGCTGTTAGCATGGCTGTAACATCCCCTCTGGGGCTTCAGAGTCGAGTGCTTTCCTGTTTGGGCGCCACCAAGTTCCCTTCATCTGCATGCCAGAGTTCACCCCCGGAGTCACTTCCGACAGGCCTGATCCAGCTGCAGGCCCCAAAGGGAGCCCGCTCCTGCGCCAGCACTTGGAGTTGCTGGCAAGATGAGGCACTCACTTGATCACACACCCCCTCCTACTGGGGCTGAGCATGCAGTCTCGGTGGCTGCAGGATCCCCACCAGAGTGCAAGCCCAAGTGGGCAGGGCACCTCCTGCCTGGGGCAGAGCTAGGCATGGGCAGGGGCATCGCCAGCCAGAAGTCTGCAGTTGGAAAAGTGTCCGAGAAAAATCCTGCGTCACTTTGGAAGCAGTCTTCCTATCCTAGAATGCCAGAGGGCAAGCATCTGAAAGATCTGGAAGGATGAGGCAGCAAAGGCCAAGATGTGAATGTACACTGCCCCTGTCAGAGGTGATCGAACCAGAGCGATTCCATCTTGAATAGGGGCTGGGTAAAATAAGGCTGAGACCTGTGAGGCTGCATTCCCACTAGCTTAGGCATTCTAAGTCAGGATGAGATAGAAAGTCCGCATAAGATACAGGTCACAAAGACCTTGCTGATAAAACAGGATGCAGTAAAGGAGCCAGCCAAAACCAAGATGGTGACGAAAGTGACCTCTGGTCATCCTCACTGCTCATTATATGCTAATTATAATGCATTTCCATGCTAAATGACACTCCTGCCAGTGCCAGGACAGTCTACAAATGCCATGGCAACATCAGGAAGTTACCCTATAGGGTCTAAAAAGGGTAGGAACCCTCAGTTGCAGGAATTGCCCACCCCTTTCCCGGAAAACTCATGAATAATCCACCCTTTGTTTAGCATATGATCAAGAAATAACTGTAAGTATAGTCAGTCGAGCAGCTCCTGCCGCTGCTCTGCCTATGGAGTAACCATTCTTTCATTCCTTTATTTTCTTAATAAGCTTGCTTTCACTTTATGGACTTGCCCCAAATTCCTTCTTGCAGGAGGTCCAAGAACCCTCTCTTGGGGTCTGGATAGGGACCCTTTTCCAGTAACATCCCCATCACAGCCCTAATCACTAGGGGACCCTCTAGGCTCTTCCTGCCCTCCCCAGACTGTCTCCCTTAAACATGCTGGATGCAGGGGTGCATCAGTGACTCCGCTGGTGCCTCCAGGAAAATAAAGTGTGGACCTCTGTGGACAAGAAACAACCCAAAGTAAAGACGACTCCTCACAGGCAGGATGGATATCCAGTTGTATGTATGTCGGTGTGCTGGGGCCGGGAGGCTCCTAATAACAATGTTACCGCTGCTTCACGTGGAAGAAAGCTGAGGCTCAGAGAGATTAAGGAACTTGTCCAGGGCCATACCGGAGTCCAGGCCTGTGTGCTGTCATGGTCTGAGGTTTGAACTCCAACCGTCTAAGGAGCTGGGATAGAACTGGGGAGGGAGTGTGGTGGGTGGGAACAGCGGGCAGATAGATGCTGGCTGGTCTCCGAGGAGCCTAGGTTCGGCCAGAGGGACAACAGGTGAGGAAAACAGGCCTCGGGGTGGATGAGTGAATACTCAGAGGATGGGCGCAGACCCGGAGGGCCGTGAAAGGTGACAGGGTTATTACAGTCTTGGTTGCATAAGGGGGTAACTAGCGGTTTCTTGGCTGAAAAAGAGGAGGGGGGCTACAGCTTCCCCCCTCCAAGGGCGGAGCACGCAGCCGCTCAGCAGGCTGCCACACAGGGTCCCCCACCTCCGCAGCTGGGGGACCTGAACTCGCCAATAGGAGGTTCCTCCTGCACGCGCGGCTTCACCCTCCCTCCAGGGCTCCCGTTGCATTTCACTCCCTGCCTAAGGTCGCCCGCCGGTGAGGGCGGAGGAGGAAGAACTGCAGCTCCTGAGGACAGAATCTGCTTCAAGGCACCCTGACCGGCGCCCAACCCCACCCCGGCTGCGGCCCGCCGCCCTGATCCCCATCGCGCTGCACGGTCTTCCCTTCCAACACCGAGGGCGCTGCAAGGACGCCCTGTCCCTGCCACTCATTCATATTAATGACTCCTCCCACCATGCTTTCCTCAGGTGTGTTCCGACCGCTCTGCCCGAAACATTTTCATCCCACACTCTTACGGCCACCTCTCCCCAAGTTCCCTTCCGTCTGGGCAAATCTTGTCCTTTACCCGGCACTGGGGTCGCTCCAGAGCTTTCAAACCAGCTTCCCCAGGGCGCTGTGCAGGGCCGGGCCCCTACAATTTTTGTATATTGATCTTGTACCTTGCCGTCAGGCTGAACTTGTTTATTAGTTCCAATAATTTTTTTTAGTGGCATTGTTGGGGTTTTCTATATAAAGGTAATGTCATCTGCAAGTAGAGCTAATTTTACCTCTTCCTTTCCAATCTGAATGCCTTTACTTTATTCTTCGTTTAATTATCTTATCTTGGCTAGAACCTCCAATACAATGGTAAATAAAAGAGGTAAATGTGCTGCAGTGAGTGCTTAAAGTTTTATGTTGCCTTAGCATCCATTTTCAAATATGTGTTTAACTTTCTCAAACCAGAAGCAGGGTTCAGTCACCCTTGATGCAGTTTCCTGTACTATACCCCCCAAATGGCTCCAGGTGGTGACCAGAAATAAAAACTTGGAGGCATCTCTGTCTCGTAGCAGGCTGGGCTCCCAGCTTTCCTGCTGCTTCCTCTAAACAGACCATTTAGACACTTTCAGTCACAATGTGACTTCCTAGTACTAGTGCCTGCTTGCTTTAAGCCCATCAATTTAAAGCTCCTTGTTTATATAATGCCCTGGACCCAATAAAGGCATTGACCTCCGTGTGTGTGTGTGTGTGTGTGTGTGTGTGTGTGTGTGTGTGTGTGTGTGTGTGTGTGTGTGTTTTCTAAGCATGCTGTGTGCCCCCCAGGGAACTTTCACACTGTGGTCATGTCATTGAAGCCACATCTGCAATCTGACCCATGCAGGTGGATCTCCTGCTGCTGCGCTTCTGTCTGGGTCTCTGGTGGCTGCAGAAACAATGGCTACAAGCTGAGCAGATAAAGAAACTCAGAGAGTTCATTCTAAACAAGTGAACAACCTCTTCTTCCTGATCTAAGGCAAAAAGCATTTAACCTTTCATCATTTATTTCTCCACAAGTGTGGCATGTCATCATTGCCACTCACTGACCCACACACTCATGGTTCATAGCCTGAGAAATAGTTTGCAAAGGCATATTTACCTTCATTGAAACCTTAGAAAACATTTATAAAGGCAGTTCAAAAATCAACCTTAAAATATGCCATAAAAAGACAGAGAGAGGTAAGAAGATACTCATGAAATCAGTCATTGTCTCAAACAAGAATAATTTTAGAGAAAGTGGATTGGGTCCTTCTTTCCCTGGTTCTCTTGCTTTTTTCTATTCTCTTCTGCAAGCAATAATCCTTTTGTCTGGCTTCTTCATTATTTCAAAGGAGAAAGTACAATATCAGCATGCATTCACCTATACTGTCAATTCCAGAAAAAAATAGCAGAGTTAAATATAAATGGACCTTAGTCATATTTAACCATTGCTCTCCTTGACAATCCAAAGCTTAATAAAGTACATCTCTTTGCATTTAGAAATTCATATATTCATACTCATACTGTTAACCTACTAAAATAAAAAAGTAGATGGAAATAATATACATGGAGCTAAAGTCAATATTAAATAGTCCCAGACATATGGTTTGTGACTAATTATTAAACATAATATATGAATTCTTCCGGTGGGTTATACAATTTTAATTGGTTGATTAAAGGACCATTCTATTCTTCAAAGGAGATAATCATGCTAAATTTTAAGAAAAATTACAGTGGAGGTATTCATTTATCTATGTCTTTATAAAAATGTAATATAAAATGTTTATGCAAAGGAGGCCTGTGAGAGAGGGGAGTGTAAGGGTTTAATAAGATATTTGGAGTAGTTTCATCCCATGACCACACATGTTCTGCTTTACCATCTGCAATCTCATTAGCTGTCCATGAAGATGCTGTGCTGAATGTAGACCTGAAATTTAGACATAAGCACTCACATATATGAAATATACATTGCTAGAGGAGCAAATAAACAAAGAAGAAAAACATTTTTTGATTTGTGGCTTCACTTTTGAACAATAACCAAAAATATTCTACATGCTCAAAGGAAAAAAAAACTCATTTTATTCTTATGAGACCAAAGGATTTTATTCTTACGAGACCAAAGGAATTGACAACAGAAGGTGAAATACAATGCAACCAGCCTGGGAAATCTTTCTGCTTGGTTCAGCTGGGCCATGGACAATTTCAAAACGAAGCAATGTGAAAACAGCACATTAATGAATGGATGGATAAAGAAACATGGAGAGAAGATACATTACTTTGGCTACCAGAGGTACAAATGCAAAAAGATTCTCCACTTTTGACTAGTAGAACTGATGATGGATTTAAAATCAGCTGCACATTGAGGGATTTTTGTTCAAGTGTAACATAAATTATGTTACAATATGAGGATAAAATATGTTATTTTGGGCTATGTTTTAGTGCATAAACACTAACAACATTAATGAATGTTATAATAATTTACTTGAAAGATGTTTAATCTATTTGTAAATAGCTCTGTCACCTGCTGAATGGCTTTCATATGTTTCAAGTAATATTTAATTTCTAAAGAGTATCCTAGACTTTACTCTGAGGATTTATTATATTAACTCTCTCAAAGAGCCCTTATATTGTAAAGAGAGTGTTATCTAGAAAACAAACCTCCTGGGTGTCACACGTTGCTAGTTATGATATTGCTTAAGGTAAAATGGGAAAATTACAGCCCAAGGCTATTTCCCAGTTACCTCTGCTTAGGGACAATAACTGAACGGCCCCACAGAAAACACGTTAGGGTAGAAGGGGCCTGTTTTCCAGGAATTCCTGCTTCTTCATGTTAAGTACCCTCCCAACCAAGTGAAAGCAAAGACTTCTTAGTAGAAAGGCAAATTCAGCAAACTACTTTCCTTTTTTATCTGAGATAAAAATTAAGTGAGTCTTTGTGTTTTTGTGTATTGATGTTCTCAAGTTTTGCCCTTGTTTATTTTCTGTTCTTTATTAATGAATCAGTAGTTCCATTCTTGAGTTGTTTTGAATTATTTCACCTGGAAGAAGACAAATTTAAGAAGTCCTAGTAAGTAAGCATGAAAAGGGGTCTTAAATGAGTATCAGGAATCAAATGCACTGAGTCCCCGGGTGAGTATTCAACCCCTGGGGACTGAGAAGTAATCCTTTCCACTGCCTCTATTTTATTTCTCTTGAAGAACATAAAAATCTAACAAAAGTGCTTAGCTATCCAAAATTATCAAATATTGAAAGAATGATTTTTTTTCCACATCAAACAAAATTTAGTTAAATGGTAGTTTCCACATAGATATAAAATGTTGAGCAGCATTAGAGATTAACCCTGTGAGGTGGGGGAGATAAAGAAAGGTTTAGTGGTGGTACAATTAGCTGAGGAGTCAAGAGAAATAGAAAACAAAAAATCTTCTATTTTGTCTTCTTTGGATCATGAATCCATTGTTATGTTTTATTTTTATTAAACAATTATTTCCCATGCTGGAAGAGTGAAAGAGTTGAGCCATCCTAAGGAACTTAAGGTGTGACAATTTACAGAGAAGAATAGTTGTAACATTGCTCATTTACTCTGAGTATAAACATGAAAAATAGTTTTAAAAAATATGGTGAAATAATTTATTCCACAGAGAAGTCATGGAGCTCTCTTACACATCATATTGTATACTAATAGCTTTGGGTGGGTGGTCTTCAGGTGATAGCACAGAAATGGAGTACGAATTTGCAGGGAAATGATACAAATTGAATCAGGCTTCAGTTTACCAGCTACTGATTGCTATTAACAGGGCATTTTGATGTGAGTCTCCACTAAGCATGTGAGTTAGAAAATAGCTCTAAAGACCATCCTTGATGGATCATTACTTTGAGATGCAAACCCCAGATTGCATTATTAAAACATCTTGGAATCAATTCTGTGCATTTCCAAATAAGCTCTGGCATGGATATGACCACATCATTAATACAGTTTACTTCTCTGGATCCTAGACTCTTTTTTTTTTTTTTTTTTTGAGATGGAATCTTACTCTGTGCCCAGGCTGAAGTGCAGTCGGCTCACTGCAAGCTCCGCCTCCTGGGTTCACGCCATTCTCCTGCCTCAGCCTCCTGAGTAACTGGGACTACAGGCACCTGCCACCACGCCTGGCTAATTTTTGTATTTTTAGTAGAGACGGGGTTTTGCCATGTTGGCCAAGCTGGTCTTGAACTCCTGACCTCAGGTGATCCACCCACCTCGGCTTTGAGAACAAGAACACCATATCTGCTGGTCTCAAACTCTTCACCTCAGGTGATCCACAGTCCTCAGCCTCCCCAAATCCTAGGATTACAGGCGTGAGCCACTGCACCCAGCCAAAAAAACTGATGCTATTTTCTATACACCTTGCACCTTATGGATGTGCCTACCAGAGATCTGGATTATAACCCTACCTTGTCACCATAAAAAATTCATTCTTATTGGACACTGACATGAAAGCCTTATGTTACGTTTTGTGATTAAGCAGTTTTCTCTTACAGCTTATTTACAAGGGAAAGAGAAAGGAAACAAGAAATAGTTTCAAAAAAACAGCCCAAATTTCAGTAATCATTAAAATCAACACAATTAAATACTCTTTTTTTGGAATGAAATTTCGCTCCTGTTGCCCAGGCTGGAGCACAATGGCACAATCTCAGCTCACTGCAACCTGTGCCTCCCGGGTTCAAGCAATTCTGCCTCAGCCTCCTGAGTAGCTGGGATTGCAGGCGCCTGTCACCACGCCTGGCTAATTTTTGTATATTTAGTAGAGACGGGGTTTCACCATGTTGACCAGGCTGGTCTTGAACTTCTGACCTCAGGTGATCCACCCGCCTCGGCCTCCCAAAATGCTGGGATTACAGGCGTCAGCTACCACTACCAGCAATGAAATACTCTTTTTAAAAGCCTTGAGGGAACCGTGTAAAGATCTCAAAACTCTAAGATATTTTCACATCCTGTCCCCACATTCCAAGGTTAGGAAGATTGAGAAGGTATTCATTTACTATTAGTTATTTATTTTATTGTTATTTATATTAAAAATCTCAAGGCAAAATATTAGGTGATTATCCCAAAAGATTACATTAAAGCGTATTCCATAATTAAATATACATTTCAAATTTAGAAGTTAGTTTTAAAAGCTCATCAGTTAAGGTCTGGAACATAAAAAACATTTCATAAAATTAAGGTTTCGGCTGGGGGTGGTGGCTCATGCCTGTAATCCCAGCACTTTGGGAGGCCGAGGTGGGTGGATCACGAGGTCAGGAGATCGAGACCATCCTGGCTAACACAGTGAAACCCCATCTCTACTAAAAATACAAAAAATTAGCTGGGTGTGGTTGCGGGCGCCTGTAGTTCCAGCTACTTGGGAGGCTGAGGCAGGAGAATGGCGTGAACCCGGGAGGCGGAGCTTGCAGTGAGCCGAGATCGCGCCACTGCACTCCAGCCTGGGTGACAGAGACTCCATCTCAAAAAGAAAAAAAAAAAATTAAGGTTTCACTGATCCTCTGTCCCAGCAGTTCTAATCCCACGAGAACTAAAAAACATAGGTTCACATGAAAACTTATGATAGTTCAAGGCATCTTTATTTCTAACATCTAAACATCCCAGCTGTCCATCAATAAGAAAATGGGCTAACAAATGGTATACAATGGAACAGTACTCACAATAAAAAGAATCAACTTTTTTTTTGTTTTTTTTTTTGAAGGAGTCTCACTCTGTTGCCCAAGCTGAAGTGCAAGTGGTGAGATCTCGGCTCACTGCAAGCTCCACCTCCGGGTTCAAGCGATTCTCCTGCCTCAGCCTCCGGAGTAGCTGGGATTACAGGTGCCCGCCACCACACCCGGCTAATTTTTGTATTTTTAGTAGAGACAGGGTTTCACCATGTTGGCCAGGATGGTCTCAAACTGCTGACCTCAAGTGATCCACGTGCCTGGGCCTCCCAAAGAGCTGGGATTACAGGCGTGAAGCCACTGTGCCTGGCCAAGAATCAACTTACTGATAAACACAACAAGACAGCTGAATCGCAAATAATAGTATGCTGAGGGAAAGAAGCTTTTAACGAATGCCTACCTGCCTGCCCTCCTTCCTTTTCTTCTTTTATGTTTTTAACCTGGCTTAATTTTCTTGGTTTCATTATTTTAAGCAATTTTTGCAGTGTTGAAAAATTTGCAAGTAAGTTTTCAGAAACAGTTAACTTCAAAATCCTACACATGCTATACATGAAGACAGTAAAAACATGGATGGAAAGAAATAATCAGTTTATTTACATTTTCTGTTTATATGATAAGTAGTAATTTAGCTGAGGTTGACAATTCATTTAAATGAGATAAAAGTCATTTACATTGTCTCTGTGGCTGTTTTCACGATACAAAGGGATGCAAAGGTAGGGTGTTACTGAGCAAACAATGGGCTTGCTGCCTAATGTACATGGAGGCCAAGACCACGGCACTGGCTTTTGAGGAAAAAAAAGCTTCATTGCAAGTGGACTGGCAAGGAGACAGGAGGAAGTGCTCCAATATATCACCCCCAGCTGGCGTTTGGGTCGGGTTTTATAAGCATAGGGTAATGAGGTGTGATCTGATTGAATTCTGCAATGAGATGATGCCAGGAGGCATGATCTGATTCGATTCCACAATGGGCTGATGCCAGAGCTCAATTTGATTGGATCCTGGATCCTTCCATACTGCGTCTGCTTCTTAATTCAGTCCCTGCTCCTTGGTCTTCTCCTTGGTCTGGGCACTTCTGTTCCCCTTGTGGTTGCATACTTGGTTCATCTGGGCATGCTCAGTTTACATGACCTTCAGCCTGAGGGCTCAGACCAACTCATAACTTTGTTGGATTAAATTTAGCCAGATTTGTCTGGCGCTGTTGCAGGTAGAGCAGTTGTGACAGAGACTATGTTGCCCTCAAAGCTGAACATATTTACAGTGGTGCACCCTTATCCACAGGGGATTCCTTCCAAGATCCTCAGTGGACACCTGAAATCTTCAGTAGTACAGGACACCATACATATTGTGTTTCCTTTACATATATATTTATAATAAAGTTTATAAATTAGGCACGGTAAGAGATTAACAACAATAGCTACTAATAACATAGAACAATTCTAACAATAAGCCAGCATCACTATTCTTGTGCTTTGGTGCCATTATTAAGTAAAATGAGGGCTCCTTAAACACAGCACTGTGATACCTCAACAGTCAATCTGATAACTCAGAAGGCTACTAAGTGACTAACGGGCAGGTAGCGTATAAGGCATGGATATGCTAGACAAAGTGGTGATTCATGTTCTAGGAGGGACACTACTCAAAACAGCATATAATCTAAACTTATATACTATTTATTTCTAGAATTTTCCATTTAATATTTTCAGACCACAGTTGACCACATTTAACTGAAACCACAGAAAGTGAAACCATGGATGGGGGAACTACTCTATACCATATCATCTGTCACCTTACAGAAACTGTTCACTGATCCCTTTTGTAGACTAAAGAGTCATAAAGATTTCTCACTATGTGAGATAGAATAATTTTTAAAAGCGTAAGTTTCAGTTTACACTTTTAAGTTCCAAGTTCCCTCTATGACTGATCATCTGACTTTGCATGAGTCACACAAGCTGAGTCCAGCTGTCCCCAGCCACTGAGATGCAGATACTAACAAGCACCTCTACTCAGTTCCCAATCTGTCAAGTGTGCAGTGAGCATCTAAGGTCAAGAATACATTTCAATGATCACAACAGCTGGTGCTGAGAATACCATCAAAATATAAATAATGGCCTTGACAATGTAACTGAGAAGACTAGTATATTTGAAACATGGGAGGCAAACTCAAGACAGAATATAAATACATTTAATTACTAAGTCACGTAGTAAGTTTTGGTATATCCATATAGTGGAATATTTTAGCAGGCATTAAAAATGATATTTTTCGGCCAGGCACAGTGGCTCACGCCTGTAATCCCAGCACTTCAGGAGGCCGAGGTGGGCGGATCACGAGGTCAGGAGATTGAGACCATCCTGGCTAATACGGTGAAACCCTGGCTCTACTAAAAATACAAAAAATTAGCCGGGCATGGTGGTGGACGCCTGTAGTCCCAGCTACTCGGGAGGCTGAGGCAGGAGAATGGCATGAACCCAGGAGGTGGAGCTTGCAGTAAGCCAAGATGGCGCCACTACACTCCAGCCTGGGCGACAGAGCCAGACTCCATCTCAAAAAAAAAAAAAAGATATTTTTCAAAGAAATACGTTTATGGTGGTTTGGTTTTAATTGAGATACATAAATACTGCTTCAATTTCTGTAATGGCTGTGAGATGTTCCTGTTTTAACTCCCTTCTTGGGAAACTATTTCTGTTTGCAGATGACATAATCCTATATCTAGAAAATGCCATCATCTCAGCCCAAAAGCTTCTTAAGCTGACAAGCAACTTCAGCGAAGTCTCAGGATACAAAATCGATGTGCAAAAATTACTAGCATTCCTATACACCAACAACAGGCAAGCCAAGAGCCAAATCACGAATGAACTCCCATTCACAATTGCCACAAAAGAATAAAATACCTAGGAATACAGCTAATCAGGGAGCTGAAAGACCTCTACAAAGAGAACTACAAAACATTGCTCAAAGAAATCAGAGATGACACCAAAAAATGAAAAAACATTTCATGCCCATGGATAAGAAAAAAACAATATCATGAAAATGGCCATACTGTCTAAAACAATTTATAGATTCAATGTTATTCCCATTAAACTATCATTGATATTCTTCACAGAATTAAAAAAAACTATTTTAAAATTCACATAGAACCAAAAAAAAAAAAAAAACGCCCAGATAGCCACAACAATCCTGAGCGAAAAACACAAAGCTGGAGGCATCACACTACCTGACTTCAAACTATACTATAAGGCTACAGTAACCAAAACAGCATGGTACTGGTACAAGAACAGACACATAGACCAAGGGAACAGAAACGATAACCCAGAACTAAGACCACAGACTTATAGCCATCTAATCTTCAACAAACCTGACAAAAACAAGCAATGGGGAAAGGATTCCCTATTTAATAAATGGTGTTGGGAGAACTCTGGCTAGCCATATGCAGAAAATGGACCATATAGAAAAATCAACACAAGATGTGTTAAAGACTTAAATGTATAACCCAAAATTATAAAAAACCTAAAAGAAAACCTAGTCAATACCATTCAGGACACAGGTATGGGCAAATATTTCATGATGAAGATGCCAAAAGCAATTGCAACAAAAGCAAAAATTGACAAATGGGATCTAATTAAACTAAAGAGCTTCTGTACAGCAAAAGAAACTGTCATCAGAGTGAACAGACAAGCTACAGAATGGGAGAAAAATTTTGCAATCTATCCATCTGACAAAGGTCTAATATCCAGCATCTACAGGGAACTTAAACAAATTTACAATAAAAAAACAAACAACCCCATTAAAATGTGGACATTCTTTTCACTCTAGGAATCTCTGATTTGTCTCTGGCACTTTCAAGAATTTGTATTTTTCTTTGTCATCTGATGATTCATTAAAATGTATCAAGGTGTTGGAGATTTTTTTTTTCATACTGCTTGTAGATTTTTTTGCTTTCCTTCCTAAATTCATGTTCTTAGCCTATTGTGACTCGGCTATGTGCAAGAAGTCTGGCTCAGCCTTCCCAACATTTTATGTGTCCAAGGCCTACTTTTACTTTCCCCTGAGTAGTTGTTAATACCCCAAACTCTGGGTAACCCAGGTCAGTTTCTGTTCCCCAGGCAACTCTAGCTCCTGTACTGCTTTTATCTATTTCTGGATTGCCATCAGGGCTTCCTTGAGAGCTTCACATTTACTTAAAAGTAGACTTGATATAATGTTCTGATATTTTGTAGAGCTACAAGGCTTTTTAGGAAACCCAGTTTGGCCAATTGACAGAAATGGAAGTCCAACTTTGGTGGGAAAACTATTATTGTCAATCACTTTATATAGAATGAAACAGTGGTGCAGAGACATGACTTTGAATTATGCAAGGTCAAAGTGCCAACATACTTCAGATGTAGAACTTAAAGTCAACAAATCTGAAACCAACGTTAATGTGTTCCTCAATACTTCAGTGAATACAATTACGGATAGCAAGGTGAGTAACCTAAAGCAAAAACAAGGGACTACTTTACTCCTTGTGTTTCGTCCTATTCCATAACATAGTTTGTGTTCTTGGAACTATAAACTTCATCTTTTTAACTACTTGCCACATGGTAAAACTGACAATCATGAAATATGTCATGTTATCCTGTGACTTAGAATGTCTGGTGGGGCATCACTCCACTCTTCTGGAGAGAACATGTATGACAGTTTGAAACATTCAAAATGTGCTGTTCTTTGCAGTCAGGAAAGAACTTCAGGGCAGGACAGAAAGAAATCAGTCACAACATTTCAGATATTGGTGTTAGAAGGAGTTATTTAGGGAGTTATTTAGAGATAAGACATACTTCCTGGCTCTGTTGAAATCACATTGTGTAAGAAGCTGCCTATTTCATTAATACATAAAGCCAGCCTTCCTTTACAAGTAGAGGCTACATTATCCCTGATTATGCTTTATTTTTAAAACGTGAACTTGAGGAGAGAGACTCAGGCCTGTATCATACACTTTCCTTAGTTTTTGTTTTGTCAGAAGCATATTATTAACAAGTAGTCTCTTTCAAAAAGACAAGATACAAACGAGTAGAAAAAAATCCATTCTCTTATCTCATGATGGTTAGATTATTTAAGAGTTGAAGTGATTGCTATGTCATTTGCATAAATTCAAGGACTTTTATTTATTTATTTATTTATTTATTTATTCATTCATTTTTGAGATGGAGTCTCGCTCTGTCACCTAGGCTGGAGTGCGGTGGCGCGATCTCGGCTCACTGCAAGCTCTGCCTACCGGGCTCATGCCATTCTCCTGCCTCAGCCTCCTGAGTAGCGGGACTACAGGTGCCCACCACCACACCTGGCCAATTTTTTGTATTTTCAGTAGAGACGGAGTTTCATCCTGTTAGCCAGGATGGTCTCGATCTCCTGACCTCGTGATCCGCTCACCTCAGCCTCCCAAAGTGCTGGGATTACAGGCGTGAGCCACCGCGCTTGGCCAAATTCGAGGACTTTTCTCTCTCAATTGCTTACAATTAAAAATTTTGTAGTAGCACATGCTCACAGATTTGGGGCTTTCAGAAATGTCTTTTCAAACTAAAAACTTTTAAAATAAATAATATTGCAGATATTTAAAATAATAATATTTCTAGATTGCAGAGGAAATACAAACTCCCAATTAATCATACCAAATATATTCTATGTTCTTTAACTTCTGGTAGAAAAAAAATCAGATTTATACTTTATATCTTCCTGTATTTTAGAAAATAGCAGACAATGAGAGAAGATCATTCTCTAATGAGATATTTGGGATCCAACACGGAATAAATGTCTGTATCTTAATTTTAAATTTTTACTATATAATTATTGATATCTTTTCCTAAAAGGGGAAATCCCTTACTCTAATTTTGAGATTGATATTTAGAATAATTGCTAAACTAAATAGTAGACTTGAAAAAGCTTTGCTCATAAAATTCTTACAGATTTATTTTATTTTACAGAAGTGGTAATGGTAATTAACAAAAATTCTTAAGTGTAATAAATTCATTTTGGTAGATTTTGGTATGTAAATGAGAAAACAGTCTTCTAACTATAACAAATTATTTAGCTTAGTCTGTCATATAAAATTCAGTGAAAAACTAAAAAAAAGTAACAAAAAACTGAGCCTATTCAAATTATATGTAAAGTTTGTGCACAGTATATAAAACTAAGTTAAGTAGGCTTACAAAATAACACTTCATATAGTATTTTGGGGAAACTCTTTCTCCAAGAGGAGAAAAAATAGCCAAATAGGAAAGAGAGTGCAAGGTTTTTAATCAAGTGTGTCTCTTCCCTTGGCTTGTGTGGGAAGATTGTAGATGGGATTACTAGGATCAGATTTAGAACACTGATCTGATGTCAATGACCTAAGTCAGCATAGCCAGCAAAGTAATATTTCCAGATAAAGAGAGAAAAAAAATTCTCCTAGATAAGAAAAAAACAACAGGGTGCTCTCAAAACCAGCACTGTAATCACCACTGAGCTAATTAGTAGGACATTTAAGGCCAAGGCACCATGGAAAGGCCAGAAAGAGACAAAAGTCAATAAAAATGGTCACTGACGACAGAGTCACAGTGCCTGGCTGACAGACGGTGCTGAAAATCCCTGAGAGATGAGGATGACTTCAGATAAGAGCGGTCCAGGGAAGATACTCAGTCATTGACAAAGCACAATGGGAAGGGTCAGTAAAAAGATCAATAACAGAAGGAAACAGCTGCCACATTCATCATTCTTAACGTCAAGGTTGACATTGGATAAATGGAGTTGGCCTTTTTTTTCTTTTTTTTTTTTTACAATAGTTTAGTGCAGAAACCTCTAAAAGGAGCTTGTACATGAAGAACTGAAGTGAGAAGCCTAGCCATTTGTATACCTTTTAGTAATAGAGACTGAATATTAAAACAGACAGTGGCCAAACCACGTACGACAATGGAACTCTGACCCACAACCACTGCAGCAACCAGCTTGGGAAGGCAAACCACAATCTCTGCAGCAGCCAGTTCAGGAATGCAAGCCACAAATTCAGTAGCAATTTGCCGAAAACAATCAGAGGTTGGTCAATGACTGCCAACTTCTCTAAGATTGCCCCTGCTTCTAGTTTAGTACTAATTAAAGAAAGCCAAATACTCTCTCCAAACCTATCCCATCAGATGCCTTGCTTCTCTTTAGCCTACCTGCGCCTCTCCATGCCCATAGCCTCCTACCCCAAAGCCTTGCCCCTTTTCACTATAAAGCTTTCCCATTCTCCCAGCCTGAGTCTCTGTCAAACATAAATGATAGTGACTGCCTCCCTTTCTCTAGCAAGCAAGAAATAAATAGCTTCTGTTCTCATTAAGCTGTCTCCTTTATTTCTGTAATTTTCTGTTTTTTTTTAATTTTTTAATTTTTTTGAGACTGAATCTTGCCCTGTCGCCCAGACTGGAGTGCAGCAGCACGATATGGGCTCACTGCAATCTCTGCCTCCCAGGTTCAAGAGATTCTCCTGCCTCAGCCTCCCAAGTAGCTGAAACTACAGGCATGTGCTACCACACCTGTCTAATTTTTGTATTTTTTGTAGAGACAGGGTTTCACCATGTTGGCCAGGCTGGTCTCGAACTCCTGACCTCAGGTGATCCACCTGCCTCAGCCTCCCAAAGTGCTGGGTTTATAGGCATGAGCCACCATGCCTGGTCTGTATTTCTGTAATTTTCCTAGAAGCTCCACTGAGACACATTCTTAACTGCTCATCACTATGGACTTTGGAACCTGATCAAGTGCGCTATCTATGGAGGCCTCTTGTGCCTTGCTTCTTGAGGCCTGTCAAGTCTGTGTTGACACAGTGTCTGTGAGAGAACAGAGTTGGGCTTCAACTCTGTTCTCTTTGTATTGAGATCCTTGGTTATTGACTATCAGCTTGGTACTCAGCTTTTGCTACCAATTCCCATTTGTTTGGCACCCTTGGAAAAATACTGCCATTTCTTTTCATTCCTTTTTGTTCTCTTTTGTGCTTCTGTTTTATGAGATATGTCTAAAGTGTTGTCTGTTATCAGAAGGAGAATCAGTGCAGAACACAGGCTTTGCTCCTCTAAGAGTGTCTCAGCTTGCTCCACAACTGATGAGCTGCAATTCTTACCAAACCAGCATCCATCTGGACAAACTTTCCTAAACTTTCCTGTCAGTCACCAATAAAATGGGATAAGGTTCTTCATCTTTTTTTTTTTTTTTTTTTTTTTTGGCCCTGAGAGGTTGGATTTGATGCAGAGGGAATATTCTGGTTTTCCATTTGCCTGTGGGCACAAGTTGTCAAGTCTGCATTTGGAGGTTGCCAACTATCAGGTTGGGGGCCTAAGACATAAAGTGCACAAATATTACTTTCAACTGACCATTGCCAGCTCCCATGGAATTTTCTGAGTGTAAATCCTCTTTTCCTTTTTTTCCTCCAGAAAAACCTCCCATTTCTTATACGTACCCTTGCTACGATCCTAGCACTTGCACCCATCTCTATACCAAGGATAATTTAGGCCTTCAGTGGCTAATCTGGAGAACATTGGACTTGAACAAAATTGTTCATTTGAAAAACACCTTAGAAAAGAGAGAATATTTCTCAGGGGCAATGGGCAGCAGTTTTTGATTGGTACACAAGTTTTCAAATGAAATTCTGATTCAGACATTACTCCGCTAAAATATTTTTTGGCCAGAGCTAATGAACAGTATGACAAACTTAACAACAAACTAACTCATTTGCCCAGCAAATCTTCCCCCGGCTTCTCCTCCAGTTGACTTCAGCTCTGCAACTCTTCCTCATCCCCCGATCCTCCTTTCACACCTCATTGACTCCTCCCTCTTCTTCCAGACCCCCTACCTTCTCCCAGTGACTCTCCTAAGATCCCGGAATGTCATTTACCTCTAAAGTTCCATCTCTTCAATGACCCAAATACGCAAGCAGCAGTAGAATTTAAACCTTGAACACGAGCTGAATTAAAAGCTATGACTAAGCATTTCCCAAAGGAGTTCAGAATTCTAAATTCTTTTAGTTGTACACAACTCAGGGTTACCTGAACTATATCAACTTGTATTTATGTTTGTAGATCCTCAGACATTAAATCCTGATGGCAAAAGCCAGTTGGATTCACCAGGACAGAGATCTACAGCATCTTTCTTTCCACAATAAGCCTGAGGGCCAAAAAGAGGCTCAAAAAGTAGGGCAATGTATCCTAAAAGCCTTACTTGAAACATTTCTAGTAAAAATAAAATGGACCACAATTTAATCATGTAAATAAAGAAAAGAAGAAATTATAGGAGATTTTCAGAATAAACTAGAAAACCCCTTTCAACAACATTTGAGTGTTAAAGAAGTGTAAGTGTAATAATGGCTCTTTTACCTACTTTGTTAATGGAATTAAACCTGAAATTGGAGACAATAATTAGATCAAAATTAGAATGGGAAATAGCCACTTTACCTGAACTTCAACACCTGGCTGACATTTTTGCAGAGCCCTAGGACAATAACAAGACAGGATCCAGAATAACCTTACGGCCCTGCAGATCAAACAGTTGAGTGGACGACCCATAGAAGAGGACACCTGCAGATATTGAAAACAGAAGGGACACCTGAAAAATGATTTTCCAGTAAAAATAAGACCAAAAGACCCCTTAATTTAGATCAATGAAGGTACCCAATATCCTGATTTAAAATTTAACATTCAAGGTGAATTAACCATAAATATAGGTGGCCAACCTCAGCAATTCCTGGCAATATGGGCGCTACTCTTTCTTTTCTTTCTTTCTTTTTTTGTTTTGAGACAGAGTCTTACTCTGTCACTGAGGCTGCAGTGCATTGGCACAATCTCGGTTCACTGCAACCGCTTCCTGGGTTCAAGCGATTCTCCTGCCTCAGCCTCCTGAGTAACTGGGACTACAGGCATGCATCATGATACCCTGCTTTTTTTTTTTTTTTTTTTTTTTTGTATTTTTAGTAGAGATGGGGTTTTGCCATGTTGGTCAGGCTGCTCTAGAACTCCTGACCTCAGGTGATCTGCCTGCCTTGGCCCCCCAAAGTGCTGGGATTACAGGTGTGAGCCACCATGCCCAGCCAGGCACTAACTCTTTCTACATTAAACCCTGGCAATTTTGCTCAACATTTTCCTCATAGGAAGCAAGTAGCAGGTATCTCAAATAACCCACAGATTCCTTCTATCTCCTACTGTAACTACAACCTTTGGGTACTTGACTTAAAAACATTTCTCCCTGCTCTATTATAACACTCTTGCAAATTTAATGGGGAGTAACTTAATTTTCAAATAGAATTATAATAGTAAGTGCACCAGCTGGGCATGGTGGCTCACGCCTGTAATCCTAGCACTTTGGGAGGCTGAGGTGGGTGGACCACTTGAGTACAGGAGTTCAAGACCAGCCTGGATAACACGGTGAAACCCTGCCTCTACTAAAAAAAAAAAAAAAAAAAAGAAATACGAAAATTAGCTGGTGTGGTGGCACATGCTTGTAATCCCAGCTACTTGGGAGGCTAAAATGGGAGGATCACCTGAACCCGGGATGCAGAGGTTGCAGTGAGCCAAGATCACACCTCTGCACTCCAGCCCGGGTAACAGAGCAACACTCTGTCTCAGAAAAACAATAAATGCACAGCAGAGTCTCCTGAGGGTTCCTCTATATGTCGTCTCTGGATATACGTTTGTCTCCTTCATTATATTTGACATACGCTCCAGATAAAGACCTCAACACTCTACCTAACACTCTACAAACTAAAAAAATCCATTTATATGGGAAATTACTGGAGCAGAACCTAGTCAAGTTCAGAAGTATCCTAGTAAACCATGGTCAAACTTCCCTGATATTCCTTGAAAAACCAGAAGCAAAGGAAGGCTTCAAAACTGTAGTTGACGACCTTATAACCAAAGACTTTCTCATACGCTGCAATAGCCCATACACCACACTTGTTCTGCTGGTACACTTTTTTCATGACCTCAGGAAAGATCAACAAAATTGTTTTGCTTTGCTTCCTAGTAGTACCTATCCTGTCATCAATTCTGCCCAAAACCACTTGCTTCACCATATTGAATCTTTACTGTGCATTTTTCAGTGTGCTTCCAAACCAGAACAGGCAACGACTTTGCCTTCATCTGGAGAGGACAACAAATATACCCGGATAGTCATACCCCAGGGGCTCACTAAAGCCCCCTCTTACTTTCCACAAGTCCTCAATCAAGACTTAAAGATCTAAATTTCACTTGTGATTCGGTTTTGATGCAATATATGCAGGATCAGATGATCTCCACTGCTTTCTTCAGAGAACGAGGAAGCTGGTGAGAAGGTGAGAGCAAGTAAATACTTGCTCTCAGCCATAGCAGAAAAAGAACATAATGTTTCAAAAGATAAATTATAATTTTGTCAAAAGACAGGCTAGTATTTAGGGCATAAGTTATCTTAAGAGGGTGAAATTATTTTGTCTCTATTGGTAGGCAGAACACTATCGAAACTTCACCTCGATGCCTCGCAAAATGACAATTGAGAGGATTTCTAGATTTAACTGGATATTGTAGACAATGGCTGCGAAATTTTTCTGAGCTTGCAATCTCTTTTTATGAATTGGCCGAGTCCTTAGTGAGAAACTGTCTTTTGTGGGGGCCCAAATATAAATTCTGTAACTCAAGAAGGCTCTTCAGTAGCCTCTTCCTTTGGTAGTTAGGCACTCCCTTTCATAATTAGGCACCCCTGACTACAATATGCCATTTTGTCTAATTGTGCGTGGACAACTTGTACAAGCTTTTTTGTTTTTAACTCAATGTCATGGAAACCATCAAAAATTCATCATTTTCCATAGCCTTACCCTTGACCCAGCTGCAAAGGCTTATAGCCCTTGTCTTAAGGCAACAGCTTCCACTGCAACATTTGTTGATGCTTCTTTTAAACTATTTCTAGGCTCCCCACCTCACATCATGATTCCCTGGCCAGTGTAGACATAACCACTGACAAAGAGCATGCAATACTTTCCAACCAGCTGATCAACTTCTTATGAGAGTTTTACTCCCTCTCTCTCGCTTTACTATTCACTGATGCAATTCCTTAAACTGCCACTCTTCTCCCCCTGCCAGAAGAAGGGAACCTCATGATGGTTATAAGTCAGTTAGGGGAGTTTCTGTACCTCACTCAGATTGATGAGAGACTGACTCTTATTGTGAACTCTGATTCAATGTTATTCATTGATGGATCATACCTCAAAACTGATATTGAAAATTATCACTAATTTAAGCTCTACTTTAGAATATATTTTCTATCTGAGGTAAAATCAACCCATATAATGGAATTTATTACACTTACTAGAGCTTGTCAATTAGCTGAAGACCATGTAGTAAACATAGAGCAGGTATGCTTTTAGAGTACTACATGAATTTGGGATGCTTTGGGGAAAAAAAGAAATTCATCATCTCTGCTGGAAACCCCATGAAAATGAATAAGTTAAGGCACTCTACTTTCTAGAGTTGGCTATTTTAAGGTTGAGGCCCATACAAAGAAAGAAGGTAATAGAAAAACTAAAGAAAAAATTCTAACAGAACTTTATGCCAAAAAAAAAAGCCTTAACTAAAGTTAATGTTTTTGTTTGTTTGTTTGGTTGGTTGGTTTTTGTTTTTTGAGATGGATTCTTGCTCTGTCGCCCAGGCTGGAGTGCAGTGGCGCCATCTCAGCTCACTACAAGTTCCGCCTCCTGGGTTCACGCCATTCTCCTGCCTCAGCCTCCTGAGTAGCTGGGACTACATGCGCCCGCTGCCACGCCTGGCCTTTTTTTTTTTTTTTTTTTTTTTAGTAGAGATGGGGTTTCACTGTGTTAGCCAGGATGGTCTCCATCTCCTGACCTCGTGATCCGCCTGCCTCAGCCTCCCAAAGTGCTGGGATTACAAGCGTGAGCCACCGAGCCCGGCCTAAAGTTATTGTCTTCTGTAAATCTTCAAAGGAGAAGTTCCTAAGGATTCAGATAGGCCATTATAAAATATCAGTGGGTCAACCCCAGTTTCCAAACGGAAGTCTGGAAATTCCACCTCAGACTGGAGCTTCCAAATGTGGCCACCTTTGATTATTCAGGCAGTCTACCTGGGGGACTTACTGACTCACTGTGTGAATAATCAGAGTGAGAATTGTACAAATAGAAAAAAACTGTAAGAAAACCATCACCAATAGTTTTATCACCAATAACTCTGGCAGAAGTTAATGACATTGTCTCTTCCCTATACGAAATATAAATCAGCCTCAATTCATTGGTACAAGTAATAATAACCACATTTCTCTAGATTTCTTGTTGGCTACTCATGGTAGCTCTGTGTTATTGCTAATACTTCTCACTATATTTGAATCAACGAAACAGGCAAAGTAAAACAGGCTCTACATCTCACATTTCCTTATGGAAAAAAGATAATTGCCATTCTAAGGCAGATCTTCAAGGTCTGTGGCCTATATGTTCTCTTGGTCTGGGTTGGAAAATTAGAATTTCTGCTTCTGTAACATTTTATAGGGACTAGTGATTATTTTTGTTTTTGAAACCCGACCTTTAAGCCAAAGACAGCCTGACCCCTGAAAACCCAACTGCCAGTTCTAGGTAGAGTCCACAACCGGAGTGAGAACATCCTCTATGCCTTTTAACCAATAAATGGTGCTTTTTCCAAGACCTCCCCCGGCCCAATCAGCATGCACTCCCCCATTCTGAGCCCTTAAAAATCCTATACTCAGCCACACAGATGGCTGCCGGCTTTCAGGCCCCCTTTCACACAGAAGTCTACCCACTTCAGGTCCCCTCTTGTGTTGAGAGCTTTTCTGCCGCTCAATAAAATTCTTCTCTGCCTTTCTCACTCTCTGCTGTCCACACACCTTATTCTTGTTGGTTGTGGGAACTCCCCAAGCTGCGGGTGGCAGTAACAAAGGAGATGTAAGGCACCCCTGTTCACTGGGCTGCAGGCAGCAGGAACCAGAGAGAACTGTAACATTTCCAGGGGGCTCAGACCTCAGGACTCCCCAAGCAAAAGCTGTAACACCCTTTGGGGCTTTGCAGTTGCTGTCATCTCCAAGTATTCTGGCGCCACCACCTCCCCTTCATCTCGATACCAGCGCCCAATATGGAAGCCAATTGCAGCATGCCCAGTCCAGCTATGAGCTGAGCACGCAGCCACACTGACCACAGGATCTGGGCCAGTAATGTGAGCCAAGCGCAGCCTGCTGGGCCAAGTGGGCAGAGCAACCCGGCAGGCCTGAGCAAGGGCCGGAACAGAAGTCAGTGCAGCCACAGAGATTTCCAGCTGGTGAAGCGGCACTGAAGGAATTCTGTAACACTGTAACCTCCCTCTCACTCACCAAGCAACAGGGGAGAAAAAGCCGCTGGGCGCCATTCCACCCTGCACATGGAACTACAAAGCGTGCAACACTTTGGTCATACCTGCCATGATGCAGGTCCATCACATCCTCTGCCAAGTCTTACATTCTACTGGGCAGCTGTTCTCACCAGAGATCATTGCCATACTGTGTCCGGAGTTGGTTCCTACTGGTGGGTTCATGGTCTCGCTGACTTCAAGAATAAAGCCACAGACCTTCGCTGTGACTGTTACAGCTCTTAAAGATGGCACAGACCCAAACTGAGCACTAGCAAGGTTTATTGTGAAGAGGAAAGCTTCCACAGCATGGAAAGGGGAGCAGGTTGCCACTGCTGGCTGGGGTGGCCAGCTTTTATTCCCTTATTGGCCCCTCCCATATTCTGTTCCTGTCCTATCAGAATGCCCTTTTTTCAATCCTCCAGGCAATTGGCTACTTTTAGAATCTGCTGACTGGTGCATTTTACAGAGTGCTGATTGGTGCTTTATACAATCCTCTTGTAAGACAGGGAAGTTCCCCAAGTCCCCACTGGACCCAGGAAGTCCAACTGGCCTCACCTCTCAGTGCTGACACAACAACAAAAAGTCAAGACCTCACAATATAGTTTGCAATAGAGACCACTCGGCAATATCATAGTGGTGAAGATGTGGGTTTCTAGCTGCCCCTGAATTGGTCAATCTCTCGTAAGTAAGAGAATGACCATAATGGGGGGCTGAGAGGATAAATATTCAAATGAGTAGTGGTCAGATGATATGACAATAGAATTCTGATTCACAATCTCTGAAGCCACCAGTCCAGGAAGCCAAACCGCATCATTGGCAGTAATTGGTCCCAAGTGGTCAGGATATCATTAATGACTGTTAGCTTCCCTATTTTGCCTTGTTTCCAACTTAGAACCAACCAAATAAAGCAAAATATGTTCCCCAAACCAACCACATAAGATACTCTGCTTCTAGTTAACCTACTTCCAACTTCCCCTTGCCAACTACATGCAATCAGAGCATACTTGAAGCCTTCCCCCATGCTTTCCCTCCCGTTTTTTGCTCACTCTAAAGCTTTCCCACTCCCAAACTTTGAATTAATCACCTGTTCTCATGTGGGTAGTCTACCTTTATTTCTACAGTAAGGTGCATGCAAGCCTTTTCTAGTCACATTTAAAATGGTGAAAAGCAGCATCATACCAGAAATATTTGATTTTCTACTTTTTGATTAGGTAAGCAGAGAGGGATGATTTCTGAGTCTTACAAAGAGTACATATCACTTCAGAAACATATGAGTTGTGGAAAGTGATGTCTGCTTTTCTCTATATTATACATAAAACATAGCAAATATCTTACTTTAATGAGCTGGTGTGTGGGGATATAGAGATGACCAAGCTGAAAGGATTGACAATAAGATAACAACTAGAAACTGAATCCCTGAAGTGACATCTCTGTGCTTGCAGCCTTTTCTCTGAATATAAAATGCACATTTTTACACAACCCCTGTGAAATCTTAGCACTTTATATCACAAGGGTAAGTAAAATGCACACGTTTTTAAAAATCAAGTATTTTAAGGTCTCCAAAATGACAGATCTTTTCCCTCTGTGAGTCATATCATGATTTACCTTGAAAGTATTTTAAGAATATTCTACGACACAAAGAGACTAAGGTTATTCAAATGAGTTTGAAGTCCCTTTAGTTTCTCTTTATTCTCAATGAATTGCAAAGGCAACTGCAGTTCCTTACCCTGCTTCCAGCTCTCTGCTGAAGTTGAGGTTTGTGGGGGTTCAATCAGGCCAATTGGAAAAATATTAATGATAGTTATAGTAATAGCCACAAACTCTCTTGGAAAGCCTGAGAGTTTGCATAGCTTCTGATTGTCTGGCTGAAGGCAGCCAGAGTCTCTTTGCAGGAGCTAGAGAGCTTAAGGCACAAATACAAAATAATGTAGAGTAGTTTATCTAACTAACTTGTTTTCCTAAGACTAACCTTTGATGTACCCTGGGTGCTTAATTGCTTTCTACTCAGGAAGTCCACAATGTCAGTTACCCTCTAATGGTGTTTTCCTATGACCTTTGTCAATTAATCTTTACTAAATAAATGCAAGTCTCACTGACTGATCGAGGAGTTGCAACTGTTTACAGTACTCTCCAGGGAGTCTGTAGGTGGCTCAGACACTCAGCTGGACTGGCAAAGCAGAATATCTGTGTGTCAGTGTACTTCATTCATCCATCGCTGGGTCAGGGTCTGCAGGTTGGACCCTAGCAGAGGTTCCTCAAAGGATTCCACATTCTTGGTCACCAAAGCTGTTGTGGTTTTCTTCACCATGGAAGTAGATAAGTAGCAGGCCTTTGCCCTAATAGTTGGTCAAGTCCCTGCAGGCGCATGGGGACCACTGTTCTGGCAAATGCTGGTTGGGGAGAACATACAGATTTTAATCACTTTTAAAAATAGACTCAGGGGGTACAAGTGCAGTTTTGTTACATGGATATATTGTGTGCTGGTGAAACCTCAGCGTTTAGTGTACCCATCACCCAAATAGTGTACAGTGTACCTTTCAGGTAATTTCTCATCCCTCACTTCCCTCTCACCCTTCCAGTGTCTACTGGAGTCTCCAAAATCTCCAATGAGTCTTCAATGTCTATTCCACTTTTCATGTCCATGGGTACATATTACTTATCTCTCACTTATAAGTGAGAACATGCAGTCTTTGAATTTCTGTTTCTGAGTTATATCACTTAAGATAATGGCCTCCAGTTCCATCCATATTGCTGCAAAAAGTATAATTTCATTCCTTTTTATGGCTGAGAAGTATTCCATACTTCCCAAACAGAAATGTTGTACTTGTGATAACATCCAGCCACTTCTTTTATCTTATTTGGAATTCAAAGGGGGCAAATTTCTTCTTATTATTAAGCAGTATATAAAGCAACCAAGAATAATCTTCAGACCAAAGAAGACTATTCATGTCCATGAGGATGGCACGGAGAGAGACTGGCATAAGATAAACTGTGAAAGGCAGAGGAATGGAAGGGTTTAGGGCTTCATAGGTCAGGATAAGCAACTTGAATTTTATTCTGAATGCAATGGGCAATCATTGAAGTGTTTTAGGCAGTGGAGTGACTTTTTCTTTTCAAGTTTTGAGTGATTGTCCATCTTCAACCTGTAATCCCTCCTATTTACCATAATTCTTCCTTTTTACCAGAATGGTTACAGAGCCAAGTCAAGGGAGGGGTTGGTACCATTAGAATATAAATAACATTTTCTGAATAGACATAGGGCTTTTCTTGCAACACTAAGTTACCATTACACTTCTAGATAAAACAAATGTGATGATTTGTACATGTGCATAGAATCTAGGATGAATTGTACTTTGAGTTCTAGACTCAAATTGGGGTGGTAGAAGTGGAATGGAGCCAGGAAATAGTTAAATTCTAGTCTCTGGGGTTCCATTAAGGAGAACAGATCATTCTTATCCTCTTTGGTTATAAAGACCCTAAACTGTCTTTTCCATGCTTGGAATGGGTAATTTTAAATTTTAAATACATAGAATAAGCAGGCCTTCAGGAATTTATTACTTCACACAGTCCATATGCAGCCCTCTTATTTTGTGCCTTAGCCCCTGTGGACACCTCTTCCCAAAGCACCAGATTTTCCTGCTGTTGTAAGTGTGTACAGGACCCAAGGCTAAAGTACCTTACTGACACAGCAGGCTGCTGACCTCACCCCTCATCTTCAAAGCATTTTCAAGTTGGAGCATATTTGTGAAATAAATATTATCTTTCTTCCTTCTAATTACAAAATTAATAAATGTTACTTTGTAAAAATAATAATTTAAAAATCACTCCTATTTTCATCATTCCCAAATAACAGCTAAAATTTTAGTGCCATCTTTTTTTTAATCTTTCTTGTGCACTCATTTACAGTGTGAGGTACAGGGAAATTTAAGGAGCAAAGAAGAAGTTTAATTTTTTAAAATCATTTTGAAATTACTAGAAGTATTAAATCCTTAGAGGTTAAGTTCATTTACATTGGAAAAACTCTCTTTTTCTCTGGCATGAACCACTTGGACAGTCCCTCTCATGATAACAGGTATAAGGCAAGTGCCCAACGCATGGTTCAGGGGATGGTTGTAACTATGTTTGTCTTATCAATGGTCTGATAAGTGAGGTTGCTCCTGCTTCTAGAAGTATCTATTTTTCTTTTGCAAATTTATAGAGATATAAAAGAGCCATTTGTGCAGAAGGGAAGTGGCATCCAGACCATTTCTCTTTGAGCTTCAGTGCCATTTAGAACATGTTTGATAAACTAGGGTGTCTCAGACTCACAAGTATTGGGAGAAAAGAGCAACAGTGGCCCATTAAAGGAAACTCAATATAAGTGAAGTGAGGTACTGGCTGGGACTGAACACTTGGGTCACTGCTGATAGGGAGAATGTGTGGCAGATGCTGACTTCTGTATCAGGATTATCAGTGGTGTTTGAAGCCTGTTGAAGTGGATTGTGGTGAATGCTCGTTCAGTCACACCACTCACCCGTTAGTTAAAGGCCATAAGAAGGCAGAAAGGCAGGTTCATCCTGAGTCAGGGTTTGTGAGAGTGATGCCATGCGATGGGCAGAGAGGCTAGGGAAGCAGCTATCAAACGATAATGTACTTCAGAGGCGCATATTCCATTTGCAGATTTCAAGCTTCATTCATTCCAGATTGAATGGGGCCTAGGAATATGCATTTTAGCAAGTACCCCTGGTAATTCAGAGGCAGTAGTTTCATGGACCACACTTGGAGAAACACAGTTTTGACTAATGATAGAAGAGAGGAAATGGTAAATAATGGACGATATTCTTCCTAAGCTTGATAAGATGAGAAACGAATACAGCAGGAGCTAATAGATGGGGAGAAAGTCAGGTGGAATGGATGGAATGAATGCGGTTACTGAGTATCAGGATGAGGGGAATTTCATCCTGAGGAGAATATGAGTAAGAAGCATTTTCAAGCAAAATAAAAATCAGATATGACTTTTCCTACTGAAAAGTCTGAAGTTAAAATAATTAAAACTGCTGTTTGTTCAGAAATGGACAAATCAACAATGAAATGAGGGGTCTCAGAATATAGTGTGCACGTATGAACATAATGAAAGGTAAAGGTGACATTATAAATGTGTAGGGTCACAGAATATGAACAAAGTGACATAATAACATACAGAAAGGACATTTTGTCTTTTGTGTCACACTGTGTCTCATCCCCCACAGGAAGTAGGAGCACATGTCCAATGGCATTTAATTAGTAGACACTTTTGAAAACTGAGAGAATATACAACCACCCAACAGTCAGAATACCCCTCCCTCTTCTACATAGAGAGGCGGGAGAGACTGATACCAGGTACCTCCAGGTGATTGAAGAGCTAATATTTAGTGAGCAATGAGTGTATGATTTTGAAATAGACATCTTGTCACTTTTCAGTGTTTTCTACAGATAGAATAGAACCAAGAGAAATGAAGAAGTGTGGTGGTGAGGGAACAGGCTTAGATACAGAATGCCAAATATCTCACTGATGGCTTAGGCTACCCGCAAATTGGATACAAATGCTAAAATCACATCCCTGTGGTAGTGAGAGAGAGCAATAATCTTAGGTTTATGGTAAGGAAGAGATTTCTATGGGAATTCTATGGAGGGGTTACTCAACGTTTTACTGGTGTTCAACTTCAGTATATTGCCTAACCCATTTAAAGACTTGTCTTTGTGTAGTATTTGATAGATTAATATATATTTTAATACATTTTTCTACCCAATTTTCCTTAATAAATTAAAAAACTGTGGTTCAGAGTGATAAAGGGTATTGAAGTTGGTACCATTAGAATATAAATAACACTTTTCTGGCCAGGCTCAGTGGCTTACACCAGCGGGCGGATCACCTGAGGTTAGGAGTTCAAGACCAGCCTGGCCAACATGGTGAAACCCGGTCTCTGCTAAAAATACATATATGTATATGTAGCTGGGCGTGGTGGTGGGCGCCTGTAATCCCAGCCACTCGGGAGGCTGAGGCAGGAGAATCGCTTGAACCCGGGAGACAGAGGTTGCAGTGAGCCAAGATCGCGCTACTGCACTCCAGCCTGGGTGACAGAGTAACACTCTGAAAAAAAAAAAAAAAAAAAAAAAAAAATATATATATATATATATGTATAAACATTTTTCTGAATAGACATACTGATATGGTTTGGCTCTCTGTCCCCATCCAAATCTCATCTCGAATTGTAATCCCCACACGTCCGAGGAGGGACCTGGTGGGGGGTGGTCGGATCACAGGGACAGTTTCCCCGATGCTGTGCTGGTGCTGGTGAGTGAGTTCTCATGAGATCTGATGGTTTTTTTGTAAGAGGAAGTTTCGCCTGTTTTCTTTTTCCTGCTGCCTTGTGAAGAAGATACTTGCTTCTCCTTTGCCTTCCGCCATGATTGTAAGTTTCCTGAGCCCTCCCCAGCCACGTGGAACTGTGTCAATTAAACCTGTTTCCTGAGAGGTGCTCCAGCCTCCGCGCGGTCAGCAGTCAGCGCCCTAGTGTCCGGCCTGCCGCATGCCCTGCAGGTAGCGCCCCCGCCTGCGGCCCAGAGTGCACTCGCGCCTGCGCCATCTCCCGGAAAAATTTCGCGCCACGCAGAGATGACAGCCAAGGAGATGAAGGCGACCGAGAGTGCGGCGCAGCCGGCGCCGCTGCCCAAGAAGGAAGTGGACGTCAGCCCCAAACAGGATGAAGGAGTGCTGAAGGTCATCAAGAGAGAGGGCACAGGTACAGAGATGCCCATGACTGGGGACCTAGTCTTTGTCCACTACACTGGCTGGCTGTTAGAGGGCACAAAGTTTGACTCCAGCGTGGATCGCAAGGACAAATTCTCCTTTGACCTGGGAAAAGGGGAGGTCATCAAGGCTTGGAACATTGCCGTAGCAACCATGAAGGTGGGGGAGGTGGGCCACATCACCTGCAAACCAGGATATGCCTAGAGTTCAGCAGACAGTCCTCCAACGATCCCCCCATAACGCCACGCTTGTGTTTGAGGTGGAATTGTTTAAGGAAGAAGATCTGACGGAAGAGGAAGATGGGGGAATCATCCGCAGAATAGGGACTCGCGGTGAAGGCTATGTCAAGCCCGATGAGGGCGCTATGGTGGAGGTTGCGCTGGAAGGGTGCTGCAAGGACCAGCCCTTTGACCAACGGGCGCTCCGCTTTGAGGTTAGCGAGGGGGAGAACCTGGATCTGCCTTATGATCTGGAGAGGGCCATTCAGCACTTGGAGAAAGGAGAACATTCCACTGTGTACCTCAAGCCCAGCTATGCTTTTGGCAGTGTTGGGAAGGAAAAGTTCCAAATCCCACCAAATGCCGAGCTGAAATATGAATTACATCTCAAGAGTTTTGAAAAGGCCAAGGAATCTTGGGAGATGATTTCAGAAGAGAAGCTGGAACAGAACACCATAGTGAAAGAGCAGGGCAGTGTGTACTTCAAGGAAGGCAAATACAAGCAAGCTTTACTACAGTGTAAGAAGATTGTGTCCTGGCTGGAATATGAGTCTAGTTTTTCCAATGAGGAAGCACAGAAGGCACAGGCCCTTCGACTGGCCTCTCACCTCGACCTGGCCATGTGTCAGCTGAAACTACAGGCCTTCTCTGCTGCCATTGAAAGTTGTAACAATGCCCTAGAACTGGGCAGCAACAACGAGAAGGGCCCCTTCCGCCGGGGAGAGGCCCACCTGGCGGTGAATGACTTTGAACTGGCATGGGCTGACTTCCAGAAGGTCCTGCAGCTCTACCCCAACGACAAAGCCGCCAGGGCCCAGCTGGCTGTGGGTCAGCAGCGGATCCACAGGCAGCTTGCCCGGGAGAAGTTCTATGCCAAAATGTTTGAGAGGCTGGCTGAGGAGGAGAACAAGGCCAAGGCAGAGGCTTGCTCAGGAGACCATCCCACTGACACAGAGATGAAGGCGGAGTGCAAGAGCAACACGGCGGGAGCCAGTCTCAGGTGGAGACAGAAGCATAGCGCCTCTCACCAGCCCTACTCCTGAGGCTGCCTGCCCCCCAGCCTCCCCACTCCACCCTGTTAGTTTTGTAAAAACTGAAGAATTTTGAGTGAAAACAAAACAAAACAAAAAACTCCTCTTTCATTTATAAATTACACAGTCTCAGGTATTTCTTTATAGTAGTGTGAAAATTGAATAAAACACATAATTTCACCTTGTAAGGTGAATCCTCCTTGGTTCTCATGTAACCAATGTTTTAACACTCTTCTTTAAAAGGGCTTTTCTTAATGTTGGAAAAATTTCCCAAAACAAAAAGTGCAATAGGGACATATTAAATTTAGCAACCAAAGTGAACAATGTCTATTTTGTTTCTAGTTCCCTCTAGTCACTGTGCTCCTTGGTCACTCCCACACCCTAAATTCCGAAACAAGTGGGCACTCAAATCAGTAAGACCACAGTGGCACTCAAATAAAAAGCCCTCCCAGCATCCCTCTTATTTCCCCTAGGAGTTGTTTTTTTTTTTTTTTTTTTTGAGACGGAGTCTCGCTCTGTTGCCCAGGCCGGACTGCGGACTGCAGTGGCGCAATCTCGGCTCACTGCAAGCTCCGCTTCCCGGGTTCACGCCATTCTCCTGCCTCAGCCTCCCCAGTAGCTGGGACTACAGGCGCCCGCCACCGCGCCCGGCTAATTTTTTTGTATTTTTAGTAGAGACGGGGTTTCACCTTGTTAGCCAGGATGGTCTCGATCTCCTGACCTCATGATCCACCCACCTCGGCCTCCCAAAGTGCTGGGATTACAGGCGTGAGCCACCGCGCCCGGCCTATTTTATGAAACTTTAAGCCCATCTTCTTTCTTTTTTTTTTTTTTTTTGAGACGGAGTCTTGCTCTATCGCCCAGCCTGGAGTGCAGTGGCAAGATCTCGGCTCACTGCAAGCTCCGCCTCCCGGGTTCATGCCATTCTCCTGCCTCAGCCTCCCGAGTAGCTGGGACTACAGGCACCCGCCACCACGCCCGGCTAATTTTTTTGTGTTTTTAGTAGACACGGGGTTTCACCATGTTAGTCAGGATGGTCTCGATCTCCTGACCTCGTGATCTGCCTGCCTAGGCCTCCCAAAGTGCTGGGATTACAGGCTTGAGCCACTGTGCTCAGCCCCTTCTTATTTCTTAATTAATTTATTTATTGAGGAGCCATGTAGGGAGACCTAGTGTACAAGCTTCCTGCATTTAGAATCAGTTGGACTTAATTTCTCTCTAATGCTTGTTTTCTTATCTGTGATTTGGTGGTCATAATAATACTTATATAAGAGGGTATGATTATTCCGAGGACTTATGGAAGTAAAGTGCTTAAAATGCTTATCACAGAGCCTGACACATAGTAGCCTCTAAAAATTTGTTACCAGGCACTGCGTTGGTAACATAAAAAAAAATTCTCCTGTTTTCAAGTATACTACTGTTTCACAAGGGAGAGAAAAAAACATAAAAATAAAATTAAAAGTTAATTTTAATTAACTTTAATTAAAAGTTTATTCTAAAGATATAGTAGGTAAATTTTTATCTGAAGAATTAAAAATGAGCAGGATACTATGATTCATTTTAAATTAATTTTTGTGCATGGTGAAGTGCAGGTCAAGATACATGTTTTTCCCCATTGTATTAGTCAGGGTTCTCCAGGAAAAGAGAACCAGCAGAACAGCAGAATGTCTATCTGTCCGTCTATGTATCTATCTACCTATCTATATCAAGAGATTTATTTTTTAAAATTGGCTTACACAATTGTAAGGGCTTGGTTAATCCAAAATCTACAGGTTAGGCCAGCAGGCTCGAGACCCAGGGAAGAGTTGCAGTTTGACTCCAAAGGCAGTCTACTAGCAGAATTCCTCCTTGCTCAGGAAGTGTCAGTCTTTGCTCTATTATTATTATTATTATTTTTTGAGACAGGGTCTTGCTCTGTCGCCCAGGCTGGAGTGCAGTGGCATCTCAGCTCACTGCAAGCTCCACCTCCCAGGTTCACACCATTCTTCTGCCTCAGCCTCCTGAGTAGCTGGGACAACAGGCGCCTGCCACCACGCCCGGCTAATTTTTTGTATTTTTAGTAGAGATGGGGTTTCACCGTGTTAGCCAGGATGGTCTCTATCTCCTGGCCTCTTGATCTGCCCACCTCAGCCTCCCAAAGTGCTGGGATTACAGGCGTGAGCCACCGTGCCCGGCCAGTCTTTGCTCTATTAAGTCTTTCAACTGATTGGAGAAGGCCCTTCCACACTATGGAGGGTAATGTGCAAACCCTAAGTCCACTGATTTATGTATTGTTCTTATCCAAACGAAAAAATCTTGACAGAAACATTCAGAATAATGTTTGACCAAATATCTGGGCACTGTGGCCCAGCCAAGTTTAAAGACAAAATTACCCACCACACCTACAGATATCTAACTGACCTAGTAAATTTTATGGAAAAGACTATCTTTTTGTCCGTTGAATGGAAGTGGCATCTTCAGGAATATGTATCTAAAATATCTATTCTGCCTTAATTATAGTGTTTATAGTAAAATAATTCTCATATGTAATACATATGAGAATATGTAAATAAATTATGTAATACATAAATATAAATATCATTTATAGTAAGCTAAGTCAAAGTTTAATTTTTAGCAACATTTATTCAGGATGGATCATAGGCCACAATGTGGAAGCTTGGACAGTAAAAACAATACAAATTCTATAACAAAAAAGTACAAAATATCTTCCATGACCTTGAGATAGGCAAAGATTTCTTAAACAGGACCAAAAAGACACCAAATATTTTTAAAGTTTATTAAATTGAACTTCTATAAATTAATGACTTCTATTCATCAAATAATATAATTAAGTTAGTTAATCTTGATGTCATCCCATTTGTTTATTTTTGCTTTTGTTCCCTATGCTTTCAGGGTTATATCCAAAAAATTGCTGATCAAACCCATATCTTGGAGCATTTTCTCTGTTTTCATGTAATAGTTTTCCAGTTTCAAGTCTTATATTTAAGTCTTTCATCAATTTAGAGTTAATTTTTGTATATGGTATGATATAAGGATCTCATTTCATTCTTCTACATGCGGATACTCAGTTTTTCCCACAGCATTTATTGAGAAGGCTGTGCTTTCCCCACTGTGTGTTCTAGGAACCTTTGTCAAAAATCAAATGGCTGGGTTTATTTCTGGGCTTTCTATCCTGTTCCATTGGTCAATGTGTCTGTTTTTATAGGAGTACCTATGTGGTTTTAATTAATATCACTTTATAACATGTTCTGAAATCAGGGAGTATAATGCCTCCAGCTTCGTTCTTTTTGCTAAATATTGTTTTGGCTATTCAGCATCATTTGTGTCCTCAAGTCAATACTCTAAGTTCCTACTCAAGAAATAAGAAAGAAGAACAAAGTAAATTCAAAACAAGGAAAATGAGGGAAATAAAAATAAGAGCACAGCTAATATCAAAAAATCAATCACTTTCCTATACATCAGCAATAAACAAGTGGAATTTGAAATTAAAAACAGAATATCATTTACATTAGCACCCCTAGAAATTAAAAACATAGGTATACATCTACCAAATTTGTATAAGATCTATATGAGGAAAGCTATAAAGCTGAGGAAAGAAATCAAAGAACTAAATACATGGAGAGCTATTCCATATACATGGATAGAGAGACTCAATGTTGTCAAGATGTCTTTCTAACTTGATTTGTGGATCCAGTGCAATGCCATTCATTACAACAGCAAATTATTTTATGCAATCTAAAATGTACATAGAGAGACAAAATATCCAGGTAGCAGAGCGTAGAATAATGTTTGCCAGGGGTTGGGGGTAGGGGAAATTGGGAGATGTTGAGTAAAGGGTCCAATTTCAGTTATGCAAGAGAAATAAGTCCTGGAGATCTAATGTATAGCATGGTGACTATTGTTAATAATACTGTATTGTATACTTGGAATTTGCTAAGAGAATAGATCCTAAGAGTTCTCATACAATAAAAAAGGAAGGTAAATATGTGAGGTGATGGATATGCTAATTAGCTTGATTATGGTAGTCATTTCACTATGTACATGTTTATAAAAATACCACATTGATGCAAGCTTTTGGGCTGGGGATCAGAGTTCTGGTGCAATTCTAGACTCTTCTCAAGAAGAATCTGAATACACTCTTGTGGGGATGGTACAACCAGCCTAGTTCCTGTGACAGTGTTCTTTCCCCTGTAGCCAGATGTGGGTTGGGTAGTGAGAGGTTAGTCAAGGTTAGTCAGCTCCAGAAAGTCTGTCTGTCTCCACAAAGGGGAGTGACAAAGAGCGGGAGCCTGAACTCAAGTGAAGAGCAATCATGAGGGCGACCTCATAAGGAGGACTTCTCAAACACGGGGCCATCTAAGTTTCACAATGACCGTAAAAGAAAGCCATTTTTTTTTTTTTTTTTTTGAGACGGAGTCTCGCTCTGTCGCCCAGGCTGGAGTGCAGTGGCGGGATCTCGGCTCACTGCAAGCTCCGCCTCCCGGGTTCACGCCATTCTCCTGCCTCAGCCTCCCAAGTAGCTGGGACTACAGGCGCGCGCCACTACGCCCGGCTAATTTTTTGTATTTTTAGTAGAGACGGGGTTTCACCGTTTTAGCCGGGATGGTCTCGATCTCCTGACCTCGTGATCCGCCCGCCTCGGCCTCCCAAAGTGCTGGGATTACAGGCGTGAGCCACCGCGCCCGGCCAGAAAGCCATTGTTATCTCCATTTTCTGATGAAGTAGTCTGAGAAATAATGAGACTTTCCTGAAGAAAACCAGTAAACAGCAAAGTCAGCATTTATTCTTTTCACTCCACAGACATTTTTATCTAGGTATTGTTCAAAGGACTAAATGTGTGTCAGTCTTCATTAGTCATGGATTTTTATTTTAAAAAGTGTGGTCAAAAATACTTTATTAAGTGGGTGATATTTAAATAAACCCTTGCATGAAGTGAAGAAGCAAGCTCTGTAGATATTTGTGGAAAGAATGTTTCAGGTGGACAGAACAATTAAAAGGACTAAGGCTGGAGAAGGCCTGGCCAGTTTAGGGAACATCAAAGATACAAGGGGTGAGGGTGAAAGGGAACGGGTAGAAAGGGAGATGGAAGAAAGTTTTTTGTCTTTACCTAACAGTCATGGGATGAGCAACTCAGCTTTGCATGATTATCCGAGTACAGGTTTCTTTCAACTTTTTGCTGTTCCATGCCCCAGGGTATGGTCCATATCTGCCTAATAACAGCTGGGTCATGTGCTTGTAACAGAAGGGGAAAGAGGGCACATTCTAGGGCAAGTAGCTTATTTTGTAATTTGAAGATGTCCTATACGGTCGATTGTTTCCAAAGATGACTGCAACACTCCATTCTATCTTACATGACCTTTTGCAATATGACTTTTCCACTTTTCCATCAAGACATAGAATCTGTCTTACCTCCCCTTAAATCTGGACTAATCTTATGAGTTGCTTTAACCAATATCATGTGGTAGAAATGACAATGTGCAACTCCAAAGACAAAACTTCAAGAATCCCCACACCTTCCATTTTTTATGTCTTGGAATGCAGCTGCCATGCTGATAGAAAGCTAAGCTAGACTGACGGAGGAGAACAGAGCCCCAGAGTCAGCCAATAGTCAGCACAACTACCAGCCATATGATTTAAACCATAATGGAAGTTCTAGCCCTGGCTGAGCTCCATAGGAGTGAAACTGCAAGTGTGAGCTCATAAGAGACCATCAAATGAGCCTGACTCTTAAATATTTGGTGTAAGCAAGTGTGAGAATGGAGTTTCCACCAGATGAGATTAGGAAGTTTACAGGTAAACAAAGTTTTGAATGCAAAGATCAGGAGTTCAGGTTTGAACATTGGTAAGTTTGAGCTATCTCTAAGACATCTAAAAAGAGTCAAATAAGCCTTTTGGAATTTTAGTTTGCAGTTTGGGAGAGAGGTGTTGGCTAGAGAGCCACATTTGGAAGTCAGTGGCATATGGATGGAACTAATGCCAAAAGACTGACTGAAACAAGAAAAAAAATTAACAAGGAGGAGTCGTAATCAATTATATCAGATGCTGCAGATAGTGTGAGTAATGTGAGAATTGAGAGTTGACCACTGATTTTAGCAATGTGAGATTTGTTGGACACTTTGACAAGAGCAGTGTAGGGGAAGTGCTGAAAAATCTGATTGGACTGTGTTTACAAGAATAACAGAGAAAAATATTTTAAAAGAGTGTGGATAACTCCTTCAAGGAATTGTGTTGCAAAAGAGAATAGAAATGGGACAGGAGCTGGCAGAGAAAGTAAAGCCAAGAAAAGTTTCTTTTTGTTTGTGTTCTATTGTTGTCATGCCCTTAAGGATAGGGAATATAGCATGACTGGATGTTAATAGAATTTTCCAAGGAAAAATCCAAAGGCCAGAGGTGAGCTAATCTTGCGACTTCTATTTTTGAATAGGTGAAGTATGAGCTTCGTATATGAGTAAGGGTAGTTAGTCTAAGTTAAAAGGTGAGAAGGCAGACTCTGTGGGTGTAGGTACTGGTGGGTAAGTGTCTTTGTTCATTTTGTGCTGCTGTGACAGATGACCACAGATTGCGTGATTAATTTTTTCACAGGTATAAAAGCTGTGAAGCCCGAAATCAAGATGCCAGAATTTGATATCTGGTGAGGCCCTTCTTGCTGCCTGTGCACATGACAGAAGGCAGAAGGGCAAGAGAGCCAAATGCTGCATTTAGCCTCTTTTTTAAGGGCTTTGCTGCAGTTTGAATGTGTCCTCCCAAAAATTATGTGTTAGAAACTTAATTATCATTAAAATAGTATTAAGAGGTGATTACACTATGAGGGCTCTGCCTTCATAAATGGATTAATGCTGCTATTGTGGGAATGGGCTCCCTATAAAAGGACCTATTTGGCCTGCTTTTTTCTCTCTCACCCCTTTTTTATGCCCTTCACGATGAAAGGACACACATGAAGGCCCTAGGCAGGAGTCAGCCCCTTGATCTTGGACTTTCCAGCTCCAGAATAGTGAGCCAATAAATTTCTGTTTATTATAAATTACCCAGTCTGTGGTATTCTGTGTAACAGCATAAAATGGACTAAGACAGTCCTTAATCCTATTCATGGAGGAGGAATCCTCATGGCCTAATTCCTCTTAAAGGCCTCACCTCTCAATATGATCACATTCTTCATTAAGTTTCAACATATTAATTTTGGCAGAAATACATTCAAATCATAGCATTCTTCTCTGGCCACTCAAAATTCATATCCTTCTCATGTGCAAAATACATTATTAATTCCATCCCAATAGCCCCAAAAGTTTTCATTCATTCCAACAACAACTCAAAAGTCTAAAGTCCAGAGGTTTATGTAAATCAGGTATGAGTGAGACTCAAGGAACAATTCATCCTGAAGCAAATTTCCCTCCAGCAATGAGGCTGCAAAGTCGAATAAGTTATTAGCTTCCAAAAACACAATGGTGGTATAGGTGTGGGATAGACATTCCCATCCTGAAAGGCAGAAATTGGCTAAAAGAAAGGGGTAACAAGTTCTGAGTAAATCCAAAACCCAAAAGGGCAAACAACATTAGATCTTAAGGCTTGAGAATAATTTTATTTGACTCATGTTTTACCTTCAAGGCAGACTGGGGCAGGGGTTGGATCCCCAAGGCTCCAAAGGCCACAACCCCATAGCTTTGCTGGGCACAGCCCACACCACAGCCCTCATGGGTTGGAGTCTCCTGCCTGCAGCTCTTTCACGCTGGCATTGCATGCTGGTGACTCTAAAATGTGGAGGTCTCCAGCATGGCCCTACCCCCATAGTTCCACTAGATTTTGTGTTAGTGAGTACTCTCTGAGGTGGCCCCACTCACACAGCTCCACTGTGCATACCTCTGGTGGAGACACTCTGAGGCATTCTCTGAAACCTAGGGGAGGAAGCTAAGCCTTCAAAGCTCCTGAACTCTGTGCACTTGCAGAGTTCGCACTACATGGATGCTGCCAAGTGCTATGGCCTGTACCTCCTGAAGCAGTGACTTGAGCCACACCTGGGCCTGCTTGAGCCATAGCTGGGACAGCCAAGGAGCACTGTGCCAGAATGCAGGGAGCAGAGATTTGAGGCGGCCCTGGATGGTAAGCCTCAAGTTCCCATGGGCACCCTGGGCCCCTCCCTCAAACCTGTTCTGCCCCCAAGGCCCTAGCACTCTGCCTGTGAAGAATGTGGCGGCCTCAAAGATCTCTGAAATGTCTTCGCGGTCATTTTCCCATTATCTTGATAAATTGTTCCTGGCTTCCTGCTATTCACACTAATCTGCTTATCAGACTGTCAATTGGGCACACCCTTGGTTTTCTCTACTAAACATGCTTTTTTATTATTTACATGGCCAGGCTGAGAATTTTTCAAATCTTTACATTCTTTACATGTGAGAGCTTCCCTTTTGATTATAAATTCCATCTTTAAGTCATTTCTCTCTTTTTGCATTTTGCTATGAGCAGTTAAGAGAAGCCGTGCAATTCCTTCAACATTTTGCTGCTTAGAGATTTCTTTCATCAAGTATCCTAGTTCATCACTCTTAAGTTCTACCTCCCACAAAATACTGAGGCAGGAACATAATTCAGCCAACTTCTTGGCTACTTTGTAACCATGATGGCCTTTCTTCCAGTTTCCAGTAAGGTGTTTCTGATTTCTCTTTAAGATACCATAATAAAGGCCCTCACTGTCCATATTTCTACCAGTATTCTGGTCACAACCACTGAGATAATATAAGAACTTGTCTAAGATGAACTAAGAAGGTTCAGGCTTTCCCTACAGCTCTCCTTTTGTTCTGAGCCCTCACCAGAATCACCCTTAATGTGCCATGTTGGGCCATACAGGCTTTTTCAGCATTCCCTTTAAAACGGTTCCAGCCTCTACCCATTACTCAGTTCCAAAGCTGCTTCTACATTTTCAGGTATTTGTTGTAGCAACACTCCATTCTCCTGGTATCAATTTTGGTCTCAGTCTATTCGTGCTATTATAACAGAATACCACAGCCTGAGTAATGTGTAAAAAAAGAAATTGGCTGGGTGCAGTGACTCATGCCTGTAATCCCAGCACATTGGGAGGCCAAGGCCGTGGATCACTTGAGGTCAGGAGTTTGAGACCAGCCTAACCAACATGGTGAAACCCTGTCTCTACTAAAAATACAAAATTAGCTAGGCGAGGTGGCGCACACCTGTAATGCCCACTACTTGGGAGGCTGAAGCAGGAGAATCCCTTGAACTTGGGAGGTGGAGGTTACAGTGAGCCGAGATTATGTCATTGCATTCCAGCCTGAGCAACAAGAGTGAAACTCTGTCTCAAAAAAAAAAAAAAAAGAAAAGAAAAGAAGTTTATTTTCTCACAGTTCTAGAGGCTGACAAATTCAGGATCAAGGAGACAGTGAGGTCCTTTTGGCATCTGGTGCGGTCCTTTTCGCTGCATTCTCACCTGGCAGAAGGTAGCACGGCAAGAGGGCCAGACGCTGTGTGAAGCCTCTGTTAGAAAGACCTTTATCCCCTTGATGAGGGAGGAGCCCGCATGGCCTTAAAGGCCCATCTTTTAATACTGTCACATTGGCCATTAAGTTTCAATACCTGAATTATGGAGGAGGCACATTCAGATCACAGCCATAAGCCAATGTGATGTTGGAAGCTCATGGACATTCTTTTTTGATTGCTTCAGTTTTCTGGTGAAGTAGGGAGCTAAGAATGAGACTGGGAGAAGAGACACTGGCATTTCGAGGAAAGAGAAAAGAGAGAAAAAGTGTTATCTAAGAGAATGAGAGGGTAAACAGGTGTGAAATGTTGTGTGATGCTTTGCAGCTTTAAGGGTACCTGTTATGTTCAGCCTTCACTTTAGAGATGAAGACCCTAAGTCCTGGAGAAGTGATATGCCCGTCCTTGGATCATGCGGCCAATTGAAGTGGAGTCCTTACTAGAACCCAGGACTCCAAATGGCCACCTCAACAATATTTCATGTATGTGCTCCATGTGGTCTTCTGTGTTATAGTTTAGCTACTGAACATAATAGATCTCCAAGTCAAAAAGGCTATTTTTAATACATTTTTTACATGACTGTTCACGTAAAAAGAAACAGACTTTCACTTTGAGACACTTATTTTTTCCTTCAAGCCTGTCTTGCAGATTCCATCAGTACAAATGTCTTATTTATTAAAAGTACAAAGACAGACTTTGAAGCAGAAATTTAAAATGCCCACCTGGGAAAAACCAGATGAAATCTTCACGATCCAGTTCTGTGACAGGTGAGCCAGCAGCAGGCTCCCCATGTCTCCTAAGATACGGGCTTCCACCAGAGAAAAGAGAATATCTAAAGTGCTTTAATGCAACCTGTCCAAAAGTAAACTTTTTCTTTCTCTGGTGAAGAAGACAAAAGGAAAACTTTAAATCTACTCGAAGTTTGTAAAAGAAGCATGACAACTCTTGCCTAGTAGGGCTGTGGCTAGGGCTGGTTCCTAGAGTGGCCATGATGATGGGAGGAGCATGCTAGGATTGGTTCCTCAGCTAGGCCTCCAGACAAGTATGGGGGCACCAACTTTGTGTAACTACCTTCCCACTCATTTTGAGAGCCACAGAGTTTGCACCCTGCACTTGCTGTCTGGTGGCTTTCAACTCCCATTGTCAGCCCTTCCTTGGAGAGATGTATTATATTAATACTTTCCATTGAAGGGCACAGTTTGGTGTCTTATTACCTTCTTACAAAGATCTAGAGCTGCCTTTCTCTACCAGGGCTCCTCATCTGAACCTCAGAGCATGGGAAGTGATGTGAGTAACTGTTTCAGCTCACCAGAGAACAACTACTTGCACGTATAGTAGTTGCTGTCCGTTGTCCAGTCCCAGAAGAGGTTCAGCCACTCACACATCTTTCCAAAATTGGCGAACTCTGTTTTGGTACAGCAAGGATGATGTTTGCAAAATGCTGAGACAAGCAATCACTACAGAATTTTTCAAATCTAATGTATTAGAAGATACAGAGATGTTAAAATGTTGGATATGTTAAAAGTTATCATTGTAATTGGAAAATGTGTTGCTTCTTTAAACTGTGATGGATCATTATACTGATAAAATTTAGTATTCACTCTATGGGAAAAAGCCCAAGCTCTGCTCCAAACATTTTATTTCTACATTAATTCTGCTAATTTCATCTTTCCTCCTTCCCTCGCCCTTTGGAAGGGTAAAATATTTAAGTTGAAGAGAAAAATCTAATTTTAAAAACAATTTTTGTTTAAAACTTGTTTTTGATTTTCATATTATATTTATATCCTGTCTATAAACAGAATCAATAATGAAAGCCATAGATTATGATGGAAGAGCTTCTTAGGTCCATACTAAAAATGAAACAAAAGCTTATACCTTTACTAGATTTCAACATAAAAAATATATGCATATGATTAAAGAAACCCATAAATAAGGGGAAATCTCACAGAAGTGAAATAAGATTTGAATATGGAAAGAAAAGGACCCAAAAGTCATTGCACATTCACAGAAATCTAGTTTTCATTATAAAGATCATCTTATGACATGCTTTTGCAACATCAGTAGGTAGAATTTCTTTTAGCACAGAGCCTGACCACACTTTCTTTCAAAAATATGGAGTTAATATGTCACTTTTGAAATCATTATTATGATTTTTATTTTCTCAATGTTATACTGAACACACTGAATTTAGGACTGAGGCAAATGAGAGTTAGTCTCCTAGTCACAACTATATCTTTTACAGACTAAGAATTTTGCAAAAATCAAAGCATAGATATAAGTTCACTTCTATCCATCTAAAGAAGCACAAAAAAAGAGCTGTTTTAAAAGGTCATGTCATAGGTGGGTACAGTCCCATTGTTTAGCTGCCTCTCTCTTGACTCTCTGACCTGGGACATTGTGGGGATTTGCCTCATTGCAATAGTTGCAATTCCTGGTCCCAGTTCTCTTGACTCTATCCTTGAAGTCAGAAGTATTAGACAGAAAAAAAATGGAGACTTGAATTTTTTTAGAGAAAACATGTGTGGGTAGATATTTAACTGATTAATGTCCTCTTAATTACTTGAACATTACTAGCCAATACATGTGAGCTTTTGCAGACAAAGGGTTGCAGCCATATCGTCCAATTCTTGTTGGTTACATGTCAACAACCTGTGATCCACTGCACCTGTAAAATACTGTTAGCCCTATTTTCACTCTCATTATTTAATACAAATGATCACTGTTCTTTTTTATTATTTTCTCTTCCTTTAATTTTCTTACTCCCAGTTTTTCTCCACCACTCCATCTTCTTCTTGCATAAACCTCTGCTGGTATCTAACATTCTTTATTCTCAAGGGTGGCATCTTAAAGGGCGTTTCAGATCTTTGGGTCTTACATTAATTTAGTTGTGGGTCCACAGCTGGGAAGCTCAGTATCAAGACTGCCCAATCACTGATAAGAAGAGATAGATGGCCAGGCACGGTGGCTCACGCCTGTAATCCCAGAACTTTGGGAGGCCAAGGTGGGTGGATCATGAGGTCAGGAGATCAAGACCATCCTGGCTAACACGGTGAAACCCTGTCTCTACTAAAAATACAAAAAATTAGCTGGGCATGGTGGTGGGCGCCTGTAGTCCCAGCTACTCGGGAGGCTGAGGCAGGAGAATGGCATGAACCTGGGAGATGGAGCTTGCAGTGAGCCGAGATCGCGCCACTGCACTCCAGCCTGGGTGACAGAGTGAGACTCCGTCTCAAAAAAAAAAAAAAAAAAAAAAAAAAAGAAGAGATAGATAAGTCAGCTGGTGATCACACTTGACAGAGGCTAAGAGTGAAACTCTGCCTAGGCGATGGGGAGGGCCAGGAGCAGGGGCCCATGCTGTGAAAGGTAAGCCCTCAAACAAGGTGAACAGCGGTGAAGTAAGGGCTTATTCCCTCCTCGAAGATTTTGTTACTATCTTGCCCCTCCGCAGATATGATCCTTTAAAGGTTTCTTATCTTCTTTTGGAGAAAATTCTATACTCCCCTCGTTTTCAAGGACATCTCCAAATTGGTTCCAAAGGGTCTTTCTATTCACAGCTTCCATTAGTCCCTTGCAGGCTCCTAGGCAAACAAGATCATTTATTTATTTATTCATTTTCTTAAAAGTACACCCATTTCCAGCCTCATTCTTGGATCAGGCCCAGCATGGCCTTCCCTCTCATATGTGCACACACTAACCAACTAAAGATGGATTCTAGATCTCCATCACGAAGACTCCTTTAAGCCTCCCAGGGAGGAAGAAACTTCAAGCTTACCATGAGGAAAATATTTTCTTTTTTATACCTCTTTCACAGAGAAATCTTTACCTTTCTATACTGTTTTTATGTAGTTTTAAGTTATGTCACGAATATTGTAGTGTCCCCATTAACCTCTAAACTTCTTGAAGGAAGGAATTGTGTCTAACCCTTTTTCTGCCTTAATGGTAGTAAAATTTTACTGATTGAAGAATGAATGTGGAAGGATGTTTTCGGGAAATAGCCTTTTGTTTAATACTCAGTAGGTTGGTTTCTATCTTATCTCTTCATAAAACTTCACAAAGTGACAGAATTCCTTCCTTTAATTGAGATCATTCTCAGCTCTAGTCTACCTCCAGATGGTCTGTTTTAAATTAACGGCTCAAAATTTTACTACTCTTGAGAACTTGGGCAAACTAATCAACCATTCTTAGTCTCAGTGTGCTCTTTATAAAATGAAGAAAACGTTAATCCTTCCACTGCTTTGTGAGGCTTGAATGAGATGCGAGTCCCTCAGTTCATCTCAGGGCCCTGTGCTCAGTAATCATCCACTCTTAGGACTGAGCTGAAAGAACAAGCACATTCAAGGAAACAATGGGGTTTGGTTTTTTCCCAAAAAAGTATTTTTATTGCTTGGCAACCAATAAAGAGTTCATAGTTCTTCTACCTCTTCTTTCTCTTTTTATTTAAATAAGCAGGCAATCAAACCTATAGATTTTTCTGTTAAAAATATATTCATTATGTAGACAAAATTTAAGAATGTTAGAAAAACTTTAGTGTAGAGACAACAAATGTCATATAATTAAATATGCCTATGATTATTTTGATTTACATGATACCAAGGGTCTGTGTAGGAAGATAAGTTTAGCCCAAAACAATCTTAGCTGAAGCAAATGCAAAACAGGAAATTTAGACACAAGGAAATAAACACTAGTCCTAAAGTATGCTCTTTAAAATAGCTTTAACGCAGCATAGAGTTTTGCATCTATATTTGTGAACAAAATTATCCATGCAGCTGTCCAATATCTTGCCAGAATTGTAAACTTCAAATTAGGATGCAAACTCAATGTCACTCAAGAAAGTGGTCATGAGGCTGGACTTAGTCATTGGTAATTATTCTGGATTCATCAGCAAGGGCAGAGCTGATTTTACCATTTCATAACACACCACTTCTGAACAGTTTCCTCCCAGGTGCTTAAGAATGAAGAAGTGGCTGTCAGGACTGCACTGGCAATATTTTTCAAAATGTGGATCCCTGGTCATATTAAAATAAAAGTTTTTCCCCCATCAGGTTAGCAGAAATGTAAAATGGAGATTGGAATTTAGATGTAGAGTTTTGTGTCAGAACCACGTTTGATAGTCAGTTACACACATCTGGCCCACAGTTAAGAATGTAAACTAACAGCATTAAGAGCCAGACATCCTGGGTTCAAATACCAGCTCTGCTGTATAAGGCTTGGCCTTTCTGTGCCTCAGTTGTCTCACTTGCAAAATCAGGATGATATCATCCTCCAAGGATTACTGTGAGGATTAAATTGTTAATATGCTTAAAGTGCTTGGAACAGAACACACGCTCTGTGAAGTCATTACTATTATCATTACATTAACACTTCTCTTTTTGAAAAAGGACACTTTTTCTATTAGTTAAGACAAAGCAAGCCATATATTTGCAAATTCCTAAAACAATGATTGAAATTAAAATTCTATAGGAGAATGACTTAAATTTTCTTTGTAATCAGAATAGATATGCCTCCAGTTCCATTCTTGAAGCAGGATACATGCCAAGGTCAGAAGGAAGGTGACTTCTGCTTTCACAAGCCTGTGAGAGAATGGGATCCGGGATGAGTCCTCTGACTCAGGGGCTCACCTTTCCCACCATGTCATGCAACGCATCAAGGAGGCTCATGTTCTTTCAATTTAAGGAATGCACATTTCATTGCTTGAAAGAGGAAAATTTAAATGTTTCTTCAAAGGTTATACAGAATATTATGACAGACTTAGGACAACAAACAATGCTTCTGTTAACTGTTAGAGGTCTCTTTGGCAGTGTTATTATGAGTTAACTGCTCAGTAAGAAGATGGTTAATATTGAGTGTCAACTTGATTAGATTGAAGGATGCAAAGTATTGTTCCTGGGTGTGTCTGTGAGGGTGTTGCCAAAGGAAATTAACATTTGAGTCAGTGATCTGGGAGAGGCAGATCCACCCTCAATCTGGTGGGCACCATCTAATCAGCTGCCAGCGAGGAGGCAGGAGAAGATGGAAGAGCAGACTACTGAGTCTTCCAGCTTTCATCTTTCTCCTGTGCTGGATGCTTCCTGCCCTCGAACATCAGACTCCAAGTTCTTCAGCTTTTGGACTCTTGGACTTACACCAGTGGTTTTCCAGGGGCTCTTGAGCCTTTGGCCACAGACTGAAGGCTGCGCTGTCAGCTTCCCTACTTTTGAGGTTTGGGGACTCAGACGGAACCACCACTGGCTTGCTTGCTCCTCAACTTGCAGACAGCCTATCCTGGAATTTTACCTTGTGATCGTCTGAGTCAATACTCCTTAATAAATTCCCTTTCGTATATACATATATCCTATTACTTCTGTTCCTCTAGAGAACCCTAATACAAGGGATTAACATCAGAATTTTGAATTCACCTAAAAGCAAGTGAGGTTACATGAAGTAAGCACAAGAATGTCCTCCAAAATGTACCTTAAATTAAATGGAAAGTAAAGAAGACATGAGAGTTTATTTTTATATTACTGAATGTTGTTTCTTATAAAAGGCATACTTTAATTCAGTAAGTAATTTGAGAGGGTCTGAAGACTAAACTACATGTTAAAAAACATTGCCGGCTGGATGTGGTGGCTCATGCGTGTAATCCCAGCACTTTGGGAGGCTGAGGCAGGCGGATCACAAGGTCAGGAGTTCCAGATCACCCTGGCTAACACGGTGAAACCTCATCTCTACTAAAAATACAAAAAAATTGGCCTGGTGTAGTGGCACATGCCTGTAGTCCCAGCTAATCAGGAGGCTGAGGCAGGAGAATCGCTTGAACCCAGAAGGTGGAGGCAGCAGAATCGCTTGAACCCAGAAGGCGGAAGTAGTAGTGAGCCGAGATCATGCCACTGCACTCCAGTCTGGGTGACAGAGCGAGACTCCATCTCAAAACAAAACAAACAAAAAAACAAAACAAAACATTGCCAATGTTTCCATATTGTGGGAAAGCTATTTATTGGGAAACAGTTTACTATTTTATTAGACCATGCAGATTATGGTGATGTGATATTATACCTAGAGAAATACAATATAGAATAATATTACAGTTTTTTTAAAAGAGCCTTCTACATGTTGCAAAAATCTGATTTTTAATTTAATAGTACTTTAAGTAATCAAGAACATTTTATAAAGAAACAGCAATGATTAGTATTATAAAGATTATCTGTTTGTTTTATTAATCATGGAGAAAAGTTGTCACAATACTTGCCCTTTATGATATTTCAATAAGAATCACCTGCCAAATAATATGGTGATATCCATACCCACAACAATTCCATTGACTTATGAGCTAAAAATTTACTTTTTACTGCAGATGGTTGGTTCCCATGCCCTGAGAAACACAAGATGCTCCATGGAAATGCTGATGATTTTACCTTCATAAAACCAGTTTTATTCACATGTCACATGCCTCAGAAGTCAAGCACAACCTACTCAAAACTTTAGCTCTGCAGTATAGAGGTCTCCTTCTTCTCCAAGCTAAGATCTTTTGGGGAAGAAGAGCTTATAAATTGATCAGAATTTGCTCCCACAAGTTCCAGTAAGCAGAGTAGTAACTGAGAACCCAGGCTTTGTGGCCTTATAAATCTGAATCTACTAGCTGTGTATTCTTGGGAAAGTTACTTAACATCTTGGAGCCTCAATATTCTCATTAAAAAATGAGAATTTAAAAGTAGCATTGTCATAGGTACTGATGGCTATGTGGTGTCATGTGATTCTTGGCGCAGGTCCTTCATGACATTGTAACTATTGTTTTAATTGCACCATGCACTACAAATAAAATGTTGTATGAATTAAATGGAGCTACCTTAACTAAAATAGGTGGTAATTAATGAAAAATGCTAATCATAACCAGAAAAAAAATTTATTTTTTTCTTTTTAAATCAGGATCCCTGATAAAAATCTACCCAGAATACAAATCTACCCAAAATGAGATTATCATCCACAATCTCATGTAAAAATATCTAGGCTGGCACGGTGGTTCACGCCTGTAATCCCAGCACTTTGGGAGGCCAACTGGGGCGGATCACCTGAGGTCAGGAGTTTGAGACCGGCCTGGCCAACATGGTGAAACCCTTCCCCTACTAAAAATACAATAATTAGTGGGGCATGGTGGCGGGTACCTGTAATCCCAGCTACTCAGGAGGCTGACACAGGAGAATCATTTGAACCCGGGAGGTGCAGGTTGCAGTGAGCTGAGACAATGCCTTTGCACTCCAGCCTGGGTGACAAGAGTGAAACTCCATCTCAAAATAAATAAATAAATAAAAATATTTAAAACCTAGATTTTTTAAAAAGCATTTGGTAGCCTGACCAATAACTGGAGAGAGAAAAAGTGATGCTCCAAGAATAAACTATTATATTTTAATTCTCAAGTCATTTAAATTGATAATTTTATGGGTCCTTGCACATAAACAGCTGAAATGTTAAATCAATTCATTAAAGTGTTCATAAATTCACTAAATGTTCTTAATCATCATTAAGCCTTAAACAACCTGTGACATCAAAATGATTACAGAGAAACAGTGATAAATTACTTTGAGTTATCAACTATATATTTAAATACTGGGATACTGGTCTAAGTTATTTGGTATTTTAGGGGATATTAAGTATTCCATCTCTAATATAATTTATATTATGTCATGCTTCCCATAAGTTTTTAAACAGAAACTTTAAGAAAGTGATTATGCACTTAAAAAATCATATCAAGCAATATAAAATCTGAACACCAGATTGGTACAAAACATGAATATCACATAAAAGTAACCTAGCATTGAAAATGAGAAGCTGTTACCCTGTGAAATTATAATGTAAAAACACACTAGATAAAATGCAGTATCTTGAGTATAATCTGTTACAAATTCTGAAATTGTGTACAAAATGTATATTATATGGATTTTAAGACCTCTCCCAAATGTAGACTTTTGACATACCTGGCCTGTAAAAGATATATAGGCTGACAGACCTAGGGGAAAAAATGCTATGTTCTGAGCCCAATGTTCCTCTTTGGTCCATAAGTATCATTTACAAGAATAATCATGATTCTCTGATTCCAAACTGTTGCCCCCATTATGAGCCGATTGCTCATACCTGTGGCACCAGTCACTCCATCAAACCTTTATTCTGGGCTGCACACTCCTGGAAGGAACCATAAAGGAGGTCTGAGGGCAAATATCCTTTGTGTTAGGATCTGGCTCATGTCCACATCCCCCTTGCTGGTGCCATATTCAATCCATGAGGACCTACTGGATTCTAGACCTTAGTAGTAGACATAAAATTCCAGAACAGTTTATGGAATTTTACTATGTGGTCCTTCTGTTTCTTAGCATTTTTGTCTTAATCAGTTTAGGCTGATATAATAAATTATCATAAACTGCGTGGCTTAAACAAGAAATATTTATTTCTTATAGTTCTGGTGGCTGGCAAGTCCAAGATCAAGGCATCAGCATGGTTGAGTTCCAGTAACTGCTGATTGCAGACTGCTGATTTCTTATTTTATTCCTACATGGTGGAAAAAGAGCAAGCTAATTCTCTGGCCTCTCCTGTCCAATTTGTAAAATTTCATATTCAGACATGTAAAAGTTATAATGCTTATTTCAAATTGAGAATCAGTAGGGTGATAGGCATTTTAGCAAGAAACATAATTATCTCCATATATAAACTAATTTTAAATATTACAGTTTAGTTTTCCAGGTACTAATTCCTTGGCTCATATAAAATGTATACTTCAGAAAATCTCTTTCCTTGTTTCTGCTTTTTATTCCAATATTATAACTTCTCATAAAAAATGAAATAAGATAAATTTAAATGCTGTGTAATTCAGCTATCTGGAAAAGGACATCATTCTTCTGATGACACTGAACATGTAGATGAGGAATCATAGTGGAGGAAAGCTATCTTAGTGGGACCAAGTATCCCAGTGGTCACAGACTTAAGGGAAGGGATTCAGGATGTTAGGGATGTAGGGGAGGAAAAACACCATTTACTTCCACTATCTTTTTGTCCATAGTCAATTTTGTCTGAGAGTAGTGATTGCTTTAGAGGTGAAGAGCTAAGAAAGACAGATTCATCTTCATTTCTGACCATTTCACCTCCAAATATGCATTAAAAGCACTAGTGTAAACTAATTTTATTACTCCTATCCTCCTGCAAGCCTGGAGGACATTGCCTGTGTCCCCCACATTGACTTCTTCAAGCAGTTTTTGATTCAATTGTTTCCACCCTGACATAACATAAAAGACAATATGGAACCCACAGGTAACATTTATATCCTGGAAGGCTTTCTCTACCTCAGAGAGATGACAGATGTCTCCATGTATAAAGTTGATTCCTTCCAGAATGGTTTGAGCAGGGATACTTATGTCAAACAGAATCATATGGACTCCCTTCTGATTCAGAAACAGCCTAGGCAGAACCCAAAATATCTACCACTTCCTGTAATGACAACAATTTCTTTTTAAAAAAATAATTTTGATTTTATTTTATATTCAGGGGACATAGCTGCAAGTTTTTACACAGGTATGTGGAATAATGCTGATGTTTAGGATATGGATTCCATCACCCAGGTAGTGAGCATATTACCTAACAGGCAGTTTTTCAACCCATCTCCCCTCCCTCCTGCCCCTTCCAGTAGTTCACAGTGCCTAGTGTTACCATATTTATGTCAATGTGTACTCAGTGTTTAGCTCCCACTTACAAGTGAGAACAAGCTGTATTTGGTTTTCCATTCCTATATTATAACAATTTACTTAGGGTTATGGCCTCCAGTTGCATCCATGTTTCTGAAAAGGACATGATTTCATTCTTTTCTATAGCTGTGTAGTATTCTGTGGTGTATATGTACTACTACTACATTTTTAAAATTCAATCTACTGTTGATAAGCACCCAGGTTAATTCCATGTCTTTGCTATTGCGAATAATGCTGTTATGAACATACAAGTGTATGTGTCTTTTTGGTAGAATGATTTATTTTCCCTTGGGTATATGCCCAATAATGGGATTGGTAGGTTAAATGGTAGTTCTAAGTTCTTTGAGAAATCTTCAATTGCTTTCCACAGTGGCTGAACCAGTTTACATTCCCCTCAACAGTTTATAAGCATTCCCTTTTATGCACACACAGCCTCACCAGCATCTGTTGTTTTTTGACCTTTTCATAATAGCCATTCTGACTGGGGTGAGGTGGTATCTTATTGTAGTTTTGATTTGCATTGCTCTGATGATAGTGATGTTGGACATTTTTTCATATGTTTGTTGGCCACTTGTATGCCTTCTTTTGAGAAGTATCTGTCCATGTCCTTTGCCCATTTTTTAATGGGGTTATTTGTTTGTTTTTTCTTGATTTGTTTGAGCTCCTCATAGGTTCTGGATATTAGACCTTTGTTAGATGCATACTTTGCAAATATTTTCTCCTATTATGTAGGTTGTCTGTTTACTGACAGTTTCTTTCGATGAGCAGGAGCTTTTTAGTCTAATTGGGTCCCACATGTCAGTTTTTGGTTTTGTTGCAATTGCTTTTGGGGACTTAGCCAAAAATTCTTTGCCAAGGCTGATGTCCAGAATACTGTTTTTCCTAGATTTTCTTCCAGGATTCTTATAGTTTGAGGTCATACATTTAAATCTTGAATTCATTTTGAGTTAATTTTTGTATACGATAAAAGGTAGGGGTCCAGTTTCATTGTTCTGCATATGGCTAGCTAGTTATTTCAGCACTATTTATTGAATAGGGGACCCTTTTCCCATTTTTTTGTGGGCTTTGTCAAAGAGCAGATGGCTATAGGTGTGCAGAACTGCTTCTGGATTATCTATTCTGTTCCATTCATCTGTCTTTTTTTGTACCAGGACCAAGCTGTTTTGCTTACTGTAGCCTTATAGTATAGTTTGAAGTTGGGTAGTGTGATGCCTCCAGCTTTGTTCTTTTTGCTTAGGATTGCTTTAGCTATTCGGGCTGTTTTTTGATTCTATATGAATTTTAGAATAGTTTTTTCTAGTTCTGTGAAAAATGACATTGGTAGTTATAGCATTAAATCTTTAAACTGCTTTGGGCAGCATGGTCATTTTAACAATATTGATTCTTCCAATCCATCAGCATGGAAATTTTTTTTATTTATTTGTGTCATCTGTGATTTCTTCCAGCAGTGGTTGGCAGTTCTCCTTGTAGAGATCTTTTTTCTTTTTCACATTATGGAACCTTTACTTTTCATGTGATTTCTGTACATAAGGAGTATGAGAGTAACCCTTTCACAAATGAAACTAATCTACTAGAATAAACAATGACAAAACTGAACTGGTATTTGATGTAAATCCACAGGCGTTTAAGCTTCAAATTCAGCATCTGATTCTTCTGAGATCTTTCCATCAGCCCTGGTAGTGCCCAACAGGGCTTGGTGCCAGCTGACATGAGACAAGAAAGCATTCTCAAACTTTGTAATCTTGCTGGGCTCCCGTTTATCAAGATAGCCCCTAATACCCACATGGATAACAGCCACTTGTTCTTCAATAGCCATGGGAGTATACTGTCTTTGCTTCAGCAACTCAGTTAGACACACACCACAACTCAAAAGTTGTTGAGTGGCAGCATCGAGGTCAGAACTGAACTGGGCAAAAGTGGTGACCTCAGATACTGAGCCACTTCCAGCTTCATGGTACCTGCCACCTGCTTCATAGCCCTGGTTTGGGCAGCAGATCTGACACGAGACACAGACAGACCGACATTAATGGCAGGGTGGATACCTTTGTAGAACAATTCTGTTTCCAAGAAGATCTGTCCGTTCGTGATAGAAATGACATTCATTGGAATGTAAGCAGACACATCACCAGTCTGTTTCTATGACTGGCAAAGCAGTCAAGGAGCCACCACCAAAAGCATTGTTCATCTGGGCTGCTCTCTCCAGCAACTGGGAGCATAGGTAGAACACAACACCAGGATAGGCCTCACAACCAGGGGGTTGGCAGAGCAACAGAAACATCTGATGGTAAGCAACAGCCTGTTTGGATAAGTTGTCATAGATGGTCAAAGCATGTTGGCCATTGTCTCTAAAATACTCTCCCATGGAACAGCCAGTGTAAGGAGCCAGTTACTGAAGTGGGGCAGCATCTGAGGCCGTAGCTGACACCACGATGGTGTAATTCATGGCATCTGCATCGTAAGTCTCTTCACCAACTGGGCAACAGTGGATCTCTTTTGACCAATAACAACATAGACACAGTACAGCTTCTTCTTTTCATCAGATCCATCATTGAAACATTTCTGGTTAATGATTGTGTCAATAGCAATTGAGATTTTCCCAGTCTGTCCATTACCAATAATCAGCTCACACTGACCATGGCCAATTGGCACCAAGCTATTTACAGCCTTAATGCCAGTCTGCATTGGTTCCTGCACTGAAATTTGAGGAATGATTCCAGGGGCTTTCAGACCAACTCACCTATGGTTCTTGGAACCAAATGGACCCTTTCCATCAATGGCATTACGAAGGGCATCAACCACATGACCCAACAGCTCCTCACCAACTGGAATGTCCACAATGGCTCTTGTCCTCTTCATTCTAGCTCCTTCCTTAATTAGTTAATCATTTCCAAACACGACAACACCAACATTGTCAGGTTTGTAGAGATCTTTAACCTTCTTGGTTAGCTGTATTCCTAGGTATTTCATTTTTGTGTGTGGCTATTGTAAATGGGATTGTGTTCTTGATTTGGCTCTCAGCTTGAACATTATTGGTGTATATGTAACCAGCTCAAGTCCAGCTGCTCTCCTCTCAGAAGTCAAAGCATGAGAACTGAGGTGTGGTGAAAGGAAAGCAACTTTTATTGGTCAAATGCTAGCAAATGGGAGAATGTCTGGGCATAAGCCTCAAAAGAGCCATCTCAGCCTTCTGGGCCGAGTGAAGGGGTTTAAGAAGGAAAAAGGTGTGGGATATAGACATGAGTAGTGAAAAGGGAGTGCATATCTGCATGTCTTGTTCCCATAGTTATCTCAAGTAATCTCCCATCTAGAGATCTGATTTACATCATCCGGACTTGGGCGTAACTCCCCTTGAGTGGGAAGATCTGCGGCTTGGTCTCTCTGCCTGGTTTGTTTCAAAATTGGCTCCTGGAATTTCTAAGCAAGCACATAGTTAGATGAGCAAGCACTGTACACAGATATGCCTGTAGGGAAAGGGCATAACAAAGAGTCTTACACTATAAGGCTACATTCTGAGATTAGGAAGGAAAGGAAAAAAATAGTTTAAAAATGTATTTCGAGGCTGAGGTACTCAGATATATATAGAAATGCTATTGATTTTTGTACATTATTTTTGTACCCTGAAACATTACTGAAGTCATTTAGCAGTTTGACGGGCCTTTTGGCAGAGTCTTTAGGGTTTTCTAGATATAGAATCATATTATCAGTGGCCAAGCATGGTGGCTTACACCTGTAATCTCAGCACTTTGGGAGGCTGAGGCAGGCAGATCACTTGAGGTCAGGAGTTCAAGACCAGCCTGGCCAACAGGGTGAAACCCCATCTCTACTAAAAAATACAAAAATTAGCCGGGCGTGGTGGTGAATACCTGTAATCCTAGCTACTCTGGAGGCTGAGGCAGGTGAATCACTTGAACCCAGGAGGCAGAGGCTGCAGTGAGCTGAGATGGTGCTACTGCACTCCAGCCTGGGCAACAGAGGGAGACTCAGTTTCAAAAAAAGAGAGAATCACACTGTCAGTGAAGAGAGATAATTTGACCTCTTCTTTTTCCCATGCGGATGTCTTTGTTTGTTTGTTTGTTTGTTGTTTTTGTTTTTGTATTTTTAGTAGAGACAGGGTTTCACTGTGTTAGCCAGGATGGTCTCGATCTCCTGACCTCGTGATCTGCCCGCCTCGGCCTCCCAAAGTGCTGGGATTACAGGTGTGAGCCACCACACCCAGCCGCGGATGTCTTTTATTTCTTCCTCTTGCCTAATTGCTCTGGCTAGGACTGTTAGTACTACATTGAATAGCAGCAGTGAGAGTAGGCATCATTGTCTTGTTTTTGTTCTTAGGGGGAATGCTTCTGGCTTTTGCCCGGTCAGTATGCTGTTGGCTGTGGGTTTGGTGTAGATGGCTCTTATTATTTTGAGGTATGTACCTTAGATGCCTAGTTTGTTGAGGGCTTTTATCATGAAGGGATGTTGGATTTTATTGAAAGCTTTTTTTTGCATCTACTGAGATGATCATATGGGTTTTGCTTTTAATTCTGTTACTGTGGTGGATCACATTTATTGATTTGCATATGTTCAACCAGCCTTGAATCCCAGGAGTAAAGCCTGCCTTATTGTAGTAAATTAACTTTTTGATGTGCTGCTGGATTCAGTTTGCTAGTATTTTGTTGAGAATTTTCGCACCTATGTTCGTTAGGTATATTGGCCTGAAGTTTTCTTTTTTTGTTGTGTCTCTGCCAGATTTTGGTATCAGACTGATTCTGGCTTCATAGGATAAGTTAGAGAGGTACCCTTCCTTTTCGATTTTTTTGAATAGTTTCAATATGATTGGTACCAGTTCTTCTTTTTATGTCTGAGAGAATTTGTCTGTGAATCCATCTGGTCCAGGGCTTTTCTTTTTCTTTTTCTTTTTTTTCTTTTGGGGTTGGCAGTTTCTTTAATACTGATATAATTTTGGAACTTATTGGTCTGTTCAAGTTTTCATTTTCTTTCTGGTTCAATATTGGGAATTTGTGTGTTTCCAGGAATTTATCCATTTTCTCTAGGTTTTCTTAATTTGTGTACATAGAGCTGTTCCTAATAGTCTCTGAGGATCTTTTGTATTTTTGTGGGATCAGTTGCAACGTCTTCTTTGTCATTTCTGATTGTACTTATTTAGATCTTCTCTTTTTTTCTTTGTTAATATAGCTAGTGGTTTACTGATCTTGTTTATTCTTTTGAAGAAAAAACACTTTGTTTCATTGATCTTTTCTATGGATTTTTGTGTCTAAATTTCATTCAGTTCTTCTCTAATTTTAGATATTTATTATCTTCTGCTTGCTTTGGGGTTGGCTTGTTTTTTTCTAGTTCCTCTAGTTGCAAAGGTACATTGTTAATTTGAGACCTTTCTAATTTCTTGCTGAAGGTTCTTAGTGCTATAAACTTTCCTCTTAATACTGTTCTAGCTGTGTTCCAGAGATTTTGGTAAGCTGTGTCCCTATTTTCATTTATTTCAAAGAATTTTTTTATTTCTTCCTTAATTTTATTGTTCACCGAGGAGTTATTCTGGAGCAAGCTGTTCAATTTCCATGTATTTGTGTAGTTTTGGGGAGCTAGGACTGGCTTTCAGCTTCATCCTCCAGACCCTTGAGATTGGGCCCCAGCTGTTCTGGGGGATCCAAAGTGCTCCCAGGCCACCAGGAAGGTACTCAGGTGAAGCAAAGCACCCAGGCTTGGCAGCAGAGGCTACTCTGTGCACACCTCCTGCAGGGTGGCCAGGCAGGGGCCCTGGAAGTTTCCCAGTCCCACAGGGAAGCCAGCCACACTCTCTCTTGGGCCAGCAATCAGCTGAGGCTAGAGCTGCCTGTAGGGAGGTGGGGAGCCCTGGGGGATGGGTGTCTAGGCCATGCTCTGCCACAGCTCCACATGCACAAAAGCTCCTAGGCTCCATGCCGGTGAAGCCCTGTCTCTGCCAACTCTCTTTGAAGATCCCCCTGCCAGCTCAAATGTCCATGGAGAATGTGAAGTTCTATATACCTAGGATCCCAGAGGTCCACAGTGAGAGTGGCCTGTCCCTCCATCCCTTCACTTATCCCTTCCCCAGGAGGCATTCAGGTCTGGGAACTAGCCCTGTCATGCAAGTATCCTGTGCAGGGTTTCCAGCTTCCTCCCTCTTCAGCCTTGTTGTCTGCATCACCTCTGTAATGACTCTCAGCATTTTCTCTCTGAAGATGGGCTCAAAATACATTGCTGTACTCAATATTTTGGTGTCTCTCAGTGGGAGCAGTGCTTCCTGGCTGTGTCTAGTTGGCCATCTTGTTATGGTAACAATTTCTTTTGGAGATTTTTTGGAGTCCACTTGTGGCAGTCAAAAGATAACTAGACAGTGGTGGCAGATGACAACTGGGTCCACAGATTGCACAACGAAGAGTAGCCTGTGGCAGAGAGCTTATTTGAAGAAATGGCTGAAAACTTCCCAAATCTGAAAAACGAAATGGACAACCAAATTTCAGCAGCTTGAAGGACTCTGTCTAAGATGAACCTAAAGATCCAACACAATGACACATTATAATCAGTCAAAAGTCCAAGACAGACAATCTTGAAAGCAGCAAGAGAAAGGTGACTTATATACAAGAGAACTCTCATAAGATTATCAGCAAACTCATCAGCAGGAACATTCCAGACTGAAAGGGAATGGGGTAGTATATTCAAAGGGCTGAAAGAGAAAGAAAACTGCCAACTAAGAATAGACAGCAAATCTGCCCTTCAAAACTGAAGGAGAAATAAAGATCTTCCCAGATAAGCAAAAGCTGAAGAAGTTCATCACCATTAACCTACCTTGCTAGAATTACTAACGGTAGTCCTTTCAGTTGAAATAAAAGAAAGCTAGATACCAACTTGAAAGCATACAAAAGTATAAGGCTCTCTGGTAAAGGTAAACATATAGTCAAATGCAGAATCTAGGCCATGCGCAGTGGCTCAAGCATGTAATCTCAGAACTTTGGGAGGCTGAGGTGGGCGGATCACGAGGTCAGGAGATCGGGACCATCCTGGCCAACACGGTGAAACCCTGTCTCTACTAAAAATATAAAAAATAAAATAAAATAAAAGTAGCAGGGCATGGTGGCGGGTGCCTGTAGTCCCAGCTACTCAGGAGGCTGAGGCAGGAGAATGGCATGAACCCAGGAGGCAAAACTGGCAGCGAGCTGAAATTGCACCACTGCACTCCAGCCTGGGTGACAGAGTGAGACTCTGTCTAAAAAAAAAAAAAAATGCAGAATCTTGTCATACTACAATAGTGGTCCATAAATCATTTTTAAATCAGGTATAAATAAGAGCATAAAAATAACCATAATTATTAAATTATATTAATGGATACAAAATACTAAAAGTATAATTTGTGACATTGATAATGTAAGGTGAATTGGAGGTAAAAGAGTAGAGGTTTTGTATGCAATTGAATTAAATTTTTAGTTTAAATAAATTGTTATAGCTATAAGATGTTTTATATAATCCCCATGGTAACTTACAGAGAAAATTGCTATAGAAGACATACCAAAGAAAATAAGGAAGTCCTCAAAGCATAACACTACAAAAAAATCAATGAAACACAAAGGCAGCAAGAGAGGAAAAGAGGGACAAACAACTCTAAGACATACTGAAAACAATTAACAAAATTGCAATAGTAAGTCCTTCCCCATCAATAATTACTTTAAGTGTGAATGGATTAAACTCCGCAGTCAAAAGACCGAGTGGCGGAATCAATTTTAAAAAGATCCAATTGCATGCTATCTACAAGAGATTCACTTAGCTTTGAAAACATACACAGGCTGAAAATGAAGGAATAGAAAAATATATTCCATGCAAGAGGTAACCAAAATAGCAAGGGTGCCCATACATATATCAGACAAAATAGACATTAAGCTAAAAACTGTCACAAGAGAAAAACAAGACACATCATATTGATGAAAGTGTCAATTCACAGTACAACACTTATAAGTCTATATGCACCAAACAGCAGAGCACCCAAATACATGAAGCAAACATTGATAGAACTGGAGGAAGAATTAGATTAAAAAAATAATAGGAGGAGATTACAATACTCTTTTTCAATAATAAATAGATCAACCAGAAAGAAAAATAATAAGGAAATAAAGGACTTGAACAATACTAAAAGTGAATTGACTCTAATAGATATATAAACAATATTCCACCCTATGTTAATATACACATTCTTCTCAGGTGCACATAAAACAGTCTCCAAGACAGAACACATATTAGGACACAAAACAAGTTTTAACAATTCAAAAAAAAACTGAAAGAAAACCAACTATATTTTCTAATAATCATGAAACTAGAAATCTGGACTAGAAAACTCTGAACTAGAAAATTCACAAAGATGTGGAAATTAAGCAATATACTCTTGAACAACTTGATGAGTCAAGAAATCACTATTTAACAGTATTTTAAAGCAGGTGAAAATGAAAACACAACACACCAAAACTGTGGCAGTAAATGTTTGTATTTTTAAAAGAAGATCCCCAATCAATAATTGGAGATAATTTTGTATCTCAAAGAACTAGAAAAAGAATAGCAAACTAAATCCAAAGTTAGTAAAAGGAAGGTCCTAGATTACAGTTAGCAAAAGGAAGGTCGTAGATTACAGAAAACATAAATGAAATAGAGAATAAATTAAAAAAAAATAGAAAAATCAATGAAATAAGAGTTTTTTTAAAAAATAAAAAATTTAACAAATTCTTTCAATAAGTAAGAAAATAGAAGTCTAAAGTAGAGTAACACAAATCAGAAATGAGACATTAAAAATGAGGACGCAGAAGTAAAAAGATTACGAGAGACTGCTATGAACAATACTCCAGTACATTGGATAACTTAGAAGAAATAAATTCTTAGAAATATACTACCTACCAAGATTGAATTGTGAATAAATTAAAATCTGAACACATCTATAACTTAGGAGATTGAATTAGTAATCAAAAATCTCCCAATGAAGAAAAGCCCCAGGACTAGACGGTTTCACTGATGAGTTTTACCAAACATTTAAAGAGTAGTTAGCATCACTCTTTCTCAAACTCTTCTGAAAAATTTCAGAAGAAAAAATACTTTCATTTTATGAGGCCAGTATTACCTTAATACCAATGCTAAAGAAGGACACCACAAAAAGACTACACACCAATAATCTTGCTAAATGTTGATGCAAAAATTCTCAACAAAATATCATAAACTTAATTCAGCAGTACACTATGACCAAGTGGTATTTATTCCTGGGATGCAAGGATGGTTCAACATACAAAAATTAGTCAATGCAATACACTATATTAACTGACAGAAAGGTAAAAAAGTCACATGATCATCTCAATTAGTGCAATAATAAGATTTTAATAAAATTCAGCACCCTTTCATGTAAAATTCAATAATATAGAAATAAAAGAAAATTACATCAACATATAAAAAGCCCTATAGGTAATGCCCATAGCTACCATCATACTCAAGCTTTCCCTCTACAAATAGAAACAAGGCAAGCATGCCCAGTCTTGCCATGTCTATTCAACACAGTACTGAAAGTTCTAGCCAGAGCAATTAGGCAAGAAAAAGGAGTAAAAAGCATTCAATTTTGAACGGAAGAAATAAAATTATCTCTGTTTGCAGATGATATAAACTTACATGTAGAAAACCTGAAGGATTACACACACACACACACACACACACACACACACACACACACAGAGAGAGACAACTGTTACAACTAATAAACTAATTCAGTAAAGTTGCAGGAAACAAAATCAACCCACAAAAATCAGTTGCATTTCTAGACACTAAGAATAAATAATCAGAAAAGAAAATGTTTTTAAATCCCCTTTACAAGAGCATCAAAAAGAATAAAATACTTAGGAATAAACTCAACCAAAGAGGCAAAAGACCTGTATACTGAATACTCTTAATATTGCTGAAAGTAATTAATGAAGACACGAATAAATATAAAGACATCCCATGTTCCTGGATTGGAAAAGAATATGGTTACAGTGTTCATACTACCCCCCAAATCTACAGATTCAATGCAGTCCGTATAAAAATCTCATTGGAATTTTTTGCAGAAACAGAAAAAAAATCCAAAATCCATTAGGAGTCTCAAAGTATTCCAAATAGTCAAGACAGTTATGAGAAAGAAAAACAAAGCTGGAGGTCTCACACTTCTCAAGTTCAAAAAACAGTGTAAAGCTACAGTAATCAAAATAGCATAATACTGGAATAAAGACACACATATAGACCAATGGGCCAGAATAGAGAGCCCAGAAATAAACTCTCACATATGTGGTAAAATAATCTGCCATAAGGGCATCAAGACTATACAATGGGGAAAAGATAGTGTCTTCAACAAATGGTGCTGAGAAAACTTGATATTCACATGTAAAATAATGAAGTTAGACCCTTACCTTCCTGTACCTATATACAAAAATCACTTCAGAATGAATTAACGGCTAGGTGCAGTGGCTCACGCCTGTAATCCCACCACTTTGGGAGGCTGAGGTGGGAGGATCGCTCAAGTCCTGGGCAACACTGCGAACCCGTCTCTACAAAAAATGTAAAAATTCCCCCGGGTGTGGTGGCGCGCACCCTGTAGTGCCACCTACTGGGAGAGGTGGGGGTAAGGCAGGAGGATTGCTTGAGCCCAGAAGGTTGAGGCTGCAGTCAGCTGTGATGATGCCACTGCACTCCAGCCTGGTTGTCAGAGAGAGACCCTGTCTCAAAACAACAAACAAACCAAAATGGATTAATGACCTAAATGTAAGACCTAAAATTATAAAACTGTAATTTATAAAATTATATTTATAAAACTAAAATTTATAAAATTATAACATTATCTAGTAAGATAAAAATATAGGGGAGAAGCTTCATGTTTTTGGATTTGGCAATGATTTCTTGGACATGACACCAAAGGCAGAGGAAATAAAAGCAAAAATATACAAATGCAACTAAATCAAACTTCAGATCTTCTGCATAGAAAGGAAATAATGAAGAGAGTGAAAAGGCAACCTACAGAATGGAAGAAAATATTTGCAAACCATGCATCTGATGAGGGTTAATATCCAAACATATAGAGAATTCCTACAACTCAACAACATCAAAACTAGACAAACAAACAAACAAACAAAAAACCCTATTAACAAAGTATTTGAATAGACATTTCTTTAAGGATGACATCAATATGGCCAACATTTAAAAATATGTTCAATATCACTAATCAGAGAAATGCAAATCAAAACCACAATGAGATGTCACCTCACATCTCTTAGCTAGACCACTATCCAAAAAAACAAAACAGAAACAGAAAATAAGAAATACTGGCAAGGATATAGAGAACTTGAAACCCTTGTGCACTGTTGGTGTCAACGTAAAATGGTGTAGCCACTATGGAAAACAGAGGTTCTTCAAAAAATTTAAAACAGGACTACCATATAGTCCAGCAATCCCACTTCTGGGTATATATCAAAAAAATTTAAAGTAGGATTTTGAAAAGATATTTGCACATCCATCTTTATTGCAGTATTACTCACAATAGCCAAGAGTTGGAAGAACACTAATATCTCCTGACAAATTAATGTATAAACCATATATTCACTGGAATATTATTCAGCCTAAAGAAAGAAGAAAATCTTACCATATGCTACAACACGGATAAGGCTTGAGCACATTATGCTACATGAAATATGCCAGTCATGAAAGGAATAATGCTGCATGATTCCCTGTGTATACATTTTCGAAAGTAATCAAATTCATAGAAACAGAAAGTAGAATGTGACAACCAGAGCTAGGGAAGAGGGGGAAATGGGGAGTTTTTCCACGGGTACAGAGTTTCCCTTTGGCAAGATGAAAAAGTTACAGAGGCCTATTGCACAACAACTTGCATACAGTTAACAGTACTGTACTGTACACTTGAAAATGGTTAAAATGTTAAATTTTGTTATTTTTTCTTTACTCACAAAAAAGGAATGAGGAGCTGATACATGCCACAACATGGAGAACCCTGAAAACATTATGTTAACTGAAAGAAGTCAGTAACAAAAGACCACATATTATTGACTCCATTCATAAGAAATGTCCACAATAGGACAATCTACTGGGAGAAAGAAGCCTAGTTGCTGCTTAGGAAGACAAGGAGTAATAGCTGAAGCATGTGGCTTTTTTTTCTTTCTTTTTTTTTCTTAAGATGGAGTCTTGCCCTGTCACCCAGGCTGGAATGCAGGGTTCAAGCAATTCTCCTACCTCAGCCTCCCAAGTAGTTGGGACTACAGGCGCGTGCCACAGTGCCTGGATAATTTTTGTATTTTTAGTAGAGACGGGGTTTCACCATATTGGCCAGGCTGATCTCAAACTCCTGACCTCGTGATCTGCCCGCCTCGGCCTCCCAAAGTGCTGGGATTACAGGCGTGAGCCACTGCGCCCGGCCATGGCTTTTATTTCTGAGGTGATAAAAATGTTCAAAAGTTGACTGTGGGGATGGTTGCACATATCTCTAAAACACTAAAAAATATTGAATTGTAAATTTTATATGGGTGAATTGTACGGTGCATGAGTCGTACCTCAATGAAGCTAGGTAGAAAGTAAACTCTATTGTCTTCTCTTTCCCCTGGCGAAACACCTCAGCTTAGGGCAAGTCTGAACAGAAACCTTGCCTCTCAGTGAAGGAAATAGGAGTCATCTCAACTTCACTTGTAGTCCATCTAATCATCTATGCCACCACAGCTCTCTGATATCTTTAAAACGATTACATTTCCAATTTCTTTACTTTTTGAACTACTTGTTCCAGTGGGAGTGATGCAGTGCCACTGCCTCCTATATTCTACCTAGAATCAGAACTTCAGCTCCAATCCCTTTGGCCTGATTTCTGCTCCTCAAGTACCCCAAAGCCTTTCCCACTTCACTGTACTTACCATTTCCTCCTCTTGAAATGGTTTTCTTTCAAATAGCCGCTAGGCATTTTCTCATTACATTCATTTCTTCAGGGTTAATGCCACCAAAAAGCCTTCCTTCCCAGACTACCCTAACTAGCTGGCGCACTTTTACCTTCTATCACTCTGTAACTCCCTTCCCTGCTTTATTTTCTTCGTGGCACTTGTCACTCTCTGACACCCTATATAGTATATATGTTTAATGACTATTTCCCTTACTAGAATGTAAGTGCCAGGGGCTACTTTGTCTTTCTTGCTCTTCACTGAATTCCCAACACAAGCATTGGAACTAGTGTATAGTGCATTCCCAGTGAATACTGAGTGAAAGAATACACTCCACTTTCAATGGGTCCTCCTGGTTACAACTTCCTGTATTTTTTTTTTTTTTTTTGAGACACAGTCTCGCTCTGTCGCCCAGGCTGGAGTGCAGTGGCGCGATCTCGGCTCACTGCAAGCTCCGCCTCCTGGGTTCATGCCATTCTCCTGCCTCAGCCTCCCGAGTAGCTGAGACTATAGGCGCCCGCCACCGCGCCCGGCTAATTTTTTTTGTATTTTTAGTAGAGACGTGGTTTCATCGTGGTCTCGATCTCCTGACCTCGTGATCCACCCACCTCGGCCTCCCAAAGGGCTAGGATTACAGGCCTGAGCCACCGCGCCCAGACTACAATTTCCTGTATTATTCAGTCTGTGCATTTTTCTGTATTGCTGGGCACTGGGTTGTCAGGCAGCTGTGATAGGTGTCAGGACTAAAACAACGAACATGCACAGCCTCTGTCCATAGGAACTTACTTATTGGGGATTCACACAAATAAAATATGCACTTGGATTTGAGGGAGTAAATGATGTCATTCGTGGAACACACAAACTGTAAGGAGAGATGATCACCGCATGTCATGACAGGCAGAGTAACTGAACATAGAGGTGAGTGGGAGAAGACCAGGAACCTCTGGTGGCCCAGAGGCAGGGTACACGGTTTATAAAAAGAAATGCCTGGCCAGGCACAGTGGCTCACGCCTGTAATCCCAGCACGTTGGGAGGCTGAGGCGGGTAGATCATCTGAAGTCAGGGGTTTGAGACCAGCCTGGCCAACATGGTGAAACCCTGTCTCTGCTAATAATGCAAAAATTAGCCAGGCATTGTGGCAGGCACGTGTAATCCCAGCTACTTGGGAGGGTGAGGCAGGAGAATCACTTGAACCCAGGAGGTGGAGGTTGCAGTGAGCAGAGATTGTGCCATGGCACTCCAGCCTTGGGCAGCAAGAGCGAAATTCTGTCTCCACCCCCCCCCCACACACACACACAATGCCTGCAGAGTTCAAAGACTGAAGAAAGTAAGTGCCCTGTGCATTTTCTAATAAAGAGGCTTTGTTGACCCTGGAAGGGACCGCTGCAGTAGAATAGTGGAGAAGATGCCAAACTGCAGGAGGCTGGAGAGAGAATGAAATGAATGAGGAGGGGAGCATGGACAACTGTACCGCGGGTCTGAAGAATGTAGAAGATATAGGGAAATACTTAGAAGCAAACATGATGGTTGAGAGTGGTCATATTGATTGGTTAAAGATAGGACAGAAATAAATAAGTGTAAGTGTTGCTGGGGAAGTGAGCCGGTAGGATGGAGAATTTTCAGGTAGAGGAGAGAGGGATAAGCTAACTGAGGTAATGGCTGAGCTAACAGAGTACAGGTAGAATGGTTGGGCATGGAGGGAGATATATCTTCCCCTAGGCAAGGTGGGCACAGAGATAGGTGAATGCTTTTAGGAACGAAGGCAGAAGTGAGAGGGAACAAACTCAAATGTTATACTTTTTTCTACCATAATACCCAGCACCCTTTGCCTGGCACATAACAGATGTCTAGTAAGTAAGTGCACAATAAATGAATTACACTTTCATATGGTGATGTAATAAAGAAAACTAAAGCACAATAGAAGTTTGAAATATGCTCTGTGGGAAGTGAAAGAGAAAGTTGCCCAGGAAAATATAGAAATACCAGGTGGTATTCCAATTGAGTTTGGCAACTATGCCTTTCAAATGAACTTTTAATGCAGTTATATGAGTTTCTCCATCTGTAGGAGAGTTGTTTGTGTAGGAGGAGAACAGAAGACGGTCTGGTGGATGATGATGTGGAATTTTTTTCCACAGGAGGTACGGTAGGAAGACAAAGTAGTAGAGTAATGGGAATACTGATAAAGGCTGTCACACTAACCCAATTCATTCTTTACAATACAATGAAGAAAGGCAGAGTGGAGGTGACGAGTGATGGCTGGAGGAATGCAGTTTGGAATAAGTGTGTATGTATGTGATATTATAATAGAATATTTCGAAGCTCCAGCATGTCTAGGATTTGGCTGTGGAAGTGGATGGCTGACAATCCTGAGACTGACAAGATCATGCAACTTAGAGTTTGGAGTATGGGAAGGGGTGTCCTCATTGTCCTTTTCAAATCTCTTCTCGAGATACATGGTCATTTCACCATGAATTGTGAGTGTATCACACATAATTTATTACGAATAATCACTGTGAATTTTTTAATAATATAATTTAGCAACTACTATGTGCCAGATACAAAAATGATGGTGAAACTTAGAGAAAAAGCTTCAAAGTCTTCAGTAAAAGCAAGAGTGTGAGAAAGAAGTACAGGGTCACATGGCTGGATGTTGTCAGCCTCAAGGGAAAGGGTTTGTTTCAGAGGACGAATGGTCTGGAACTGCACTGAGGATGGAGAACACTGGCCTCTCCTCCCAACCCCAAGAAGCCTCCAACTCTGAGAAGCATCCCTTTGAATTGCTGGAGGTGGGAGGTGGGCAGTGTCTTTATAGAAGGCTCACTTAAGTCAAGGTGTGTAAGGTAGAGGATGTGGAGGGAGTTGATGAGAATGGAATGGTGTTCCAGAGAGAGTATGGTGGAGACATTTGGAGGCAGAATGGACTAAGAGAAAGAACGAAGAGAGCAGATTACCTTTTGAGTGGAGTGTAAGGATGGGAGAGATGGAGGCATAATCTACAGGTTTAGGGGTAGGAAAGACGGTTCAAACCACCTGAAGAGGAGGGAGTCTGGGTTTAGAGGAAATAACATATTTGTCACAATCCAGGACCTTCACCACACAGTCTTTCTAGAAAGAAGAATGAAGCCTCTTCTATCCGAGGGAGCACTTTAATTCAGGCTCCATTCTGCATCCTCTGCATGAATGCTGCAAAGTTTCCATATTTGTCTGTGCCTGTGTTTCCCCATTTCTTCAAAAAGAGAAAAAAGGGGAAATGCTTCCAAACTTTTATGTGGCTGCTAGAATTGTATGATCATTTTATATAAATATATATGAATATGCATAGTTTCTGAGAGAGAGAGACAGACAGAAAGACAGAGAGCACTAACACAGTGCCTGGTATATAACAAGGACTCATTAATTAATGATGGTTGTTACTATTATCAGATTTCTATCTTTACTGAATTCTTGTTGATGTTACATTAATATTAGTGTATTCTTACCATGTCATAGTGAAGCACATTTGAACATGTCTGGCACGGTCACTGGTAAGTTGCTTTCTATGAACACATCTTTCCTGCCTCAAGGGTTGATGTGTGTGAGGCAATAATAAAGCAATAATATAAATTCTGTATACCAGAAGGAGGACTCCGCATACTCCTTTCACTGCCCCATTTACCATGGTAGAATATAAGACATGCATCTTTTATAGTCTTATATTTATTTTTAGAGCCTGACCTGTTGCCTTATTTTTGCTCAAAAACATTGATAATTGAATTTTTTTTTGTGTGTAAGCAAAAAATCAATTAAATATGATATTCTGGATATAATTCTTATATGGTAACTTTTTCAATTGAACATTTTCCCTAATACTAGTCCAGGCAGAATAAAAAACAATGTTCTTCGTTCTGGAAATGTGACAGTTTACTCATCCACACGAACATTTGGAAAATTTGCCCACATTTCTAGATCTTCAAAGTCTGAAGCTCTTTTTCCGTTTATCTCATCCTAAACAAAATTTAAGTACAATGAGGAGGAGCTCTCAGTAATCTTTTTGTCCTTAGTGGCTTTCTGCTTTTCTTTATCATGGGCTGCACTACTAAAAATAAATTGGTACATTGTTGGCCAGCTCCAAAAGAATTGATGATTTAACAGTCAAATAATATATTTCATAAAATAGTAATTACAGATCAAATAATTTGTTTTCACTCACTACAGAAAATGTAAAATGTTGCCAAACTGGCAACTGCTTAAACAAAAACAATATCAGTTCCAGAAATTCCACACGTATATATTATAATATGCAATATCTATAATCTTAACAGCTTTGTAACTAATGAACTCTAAATGGCTACATACTGTTATAATTTTGTATTTAGATTTTTCTTTTCTTTCTTTCTTTTTTTTTTTTTTGGAAACCGAGTCTTGCTCTGTCTCCCAGGCTGGAGTGCAGTGGTGCGATCTCGGCTCACTGCACGCTCCGCCTCCCGGGTTCACGCCATTCTCCTGCCTCAGGCTCCCGAGTAGCTGGGACTACAGGCGCCTGCCACCACACCCGGCTAATTTTTTATATTTTTAGTAGAGATGGGGTTTCACCGTGTTAGCCAGGATGGTCTCGATCTCCTGACCTCGTGATCCGCCCGCCTCGGCCTCCCAAAGTGCTGGGATTATAGGCATGAGCCACCGCACCCCGCCTGTATTTGGATTTTTCTATCCTAACTTTTCTTTAATAATTTGATCCACTGTTCAACAGCAATCAGCAAACATCTATTTACTCAGTAACATTCATCAAGCCTTTCCAACTCATATAACATTATTGCTTCCTACCCTAAAGAAATCTATCTGAAAACATCACTCATAGCTGAACAAATCAGTGCTGGAGCAAAAACTAGAATTCTGATTTTTGGCTCCAGTATATTTCCATGACCTAAACTTGTCTCTTAAACACTGACTACTTGATTACAAGTCCAGATTCTGCAGAACACTGATCATGTTTTTCTGCTGTTGTTAGGACATTTGTTCAAATGACTGGTCTAAATAGTCCATATTAAGGCCTCTCCACAGTAATAGCCTTCCTAGATATAAAGGATCACGGGGGAGAAAATGAAGACAGATTTTTTAAAATTTTGTTTAAGCCCAATTTTTCTTCTTCTATATTGCTTTCAGCACTTGAGGCACATGAAGACTTTGTACGACCTTTTCTCTGAATGGAAAATGAATTCTCCTGCACTCAGCATATCAAATCCTGAGAGACTTTCCTGGACCGACTTTGGCCACCTCAATTTCTGAAATGTTATACTGATTACTTCTTTAAGATATTGTTTGGCCCAAGGTCATGTAACATATGAGTTCATTCTGTGCATGAAGCTCCCCAGAGAACAACGGTACACAATGTCAGTTTGGTTATGGCATCTGAAAACTCATAAGAGCAGACTTTCATTAAAAGCAGTATTACCCCCAGCCCTTGCCTTCTGAGAATTCACATATGAATAATTAGGAGTCTGTAAGTAGGGGCCTACCTGTGGTACATATTTCTCCTGTTTTTGAAGTAAAAGGATATTTCTATAAAGTTTCTCAAACATTTTCTACTTTTTCATCATTGTCAAGTCATTTATTTTTTGAAGTTGAGCTTTACATTTACTTGCATATTTGGAGTTTATAGCCCTGTTGTTTTGTTTTAAATTACAAGATGATAAAAATAAATCTTTAAGTCCTTTCCTAAATTCATCAGTTAATTGTAATCCAATCATATATAAAGAAAAGTATTATTTATTGCCTCTATATTCATCATTAAAAGAAATACATATAAAATTAAAAGGAGCATGCCAGTTAAAAACCAAGAAAGAATACTGGGCTTCTGAGCTTAACAGGGAAATCTATTATCAGACTATTTTAATCATTTTCTAATTGTGCGTATGAAAGACTGACAGAAATATACGTTGTCTTTACTGAGTGCTGGGAGTATGAGTTGTATGATCATAAAATTATAGTCTTAAATATTTGAGACAGACAACTTTCACAGCTAGTTTGCATTTAAAAAGTAATTGTGATTGTATTAGTCAATTTTGCGTTGCTATAAAGGAATACCTGAGGCTGAGTGATTTTTTTTTTTTTTTTTTTTTTGGGAGGGAGTCTCGCTCTGTCGCCCAGGCTGGGGTGCAGTGGCGCGATCTCGGCTCACTGCAAGCTCCGCCTCCCGGGTTCACGCCATTCTCCTGCCTCAGCCTCCCGAGTAGCTGGGAGTACAGGCGCCCGCCACCACGCTAGGCTAATTTTTTTTTTGTATTTTTAGTAGAGACGGGGTTTCACCGTGTTAGCCAGGATGGTCTCGATCTCCTGACCTGGTGATCCACCCGTCTTGGCCTCCCGAAGTGCTGGGATTACAGGCGTGAGCCATCGCGGCCAGCCAAGGCTGAGTGGTTTAGAGGGAAAAGAGATTTATTTTGGCTCACAGTTCTGCAGACTGTACAAAAAGCATGGCATCAGCATCTGCTTCTGGTGAGGCCTCAGGAAGCTTACAATCATGGCAGATGGTGAAGGGGGAGTTGGCCTCTCAGGTGGCGAGAGAGGGAACGAAGTGCCAGACTCTTTTTACCAATCAGACCTCCTGTGAACTAATACAACCAGAGCCCACTCATTACCACAGGGAGGACACCGAGCTTTTCTTTTTTTTTTTTTTTTTGAGACAGAGTCTCGCTCTGTCGCCCAGGCTGGAGCGCAGTGGCGCAATCTCGGCTCACTGCAAGCTCCGCCTCCCGGGTCCGAGCCATTCTCCTGCCTCAGTCTCCGGAGTAGCTGGGACTACAGGCACCCGCCACCGCGGCCGGCTAATTTTTTTGTATCTTTTAGTAGAGACAGGGTTTCACCGTGTTAGCCAGGACGGTCTCGATCCTCTGACCTCGTGATCCGCCCGCCTCGGCCTCCCAAAGTGCTGGGATTACAGGCGTGAGCCACCGCGCCCGGCCGACACCAAGCTTTTCATGAGGAACCCACCCCTATGATGCAAATACCTCCCACCAGGCCCCACTTCCAACATTGCGGATCACATTTCAACATGAGATTTGGAGGGCACAAATATCCAAACTACACCAATGATCAAGACAGAACTCATATTCTTTGATACATTCTTGATTTGTCCATTTATTTTATTAGAAGAATTTTTGAATATGAGAGTACCTTACATAAAGTATGCACTAAATAAACTGAATAAAATTGACAATATGCAATGTCAAAGACAAAACATAATGGCAGTATTATACTATATAGAAATCTACTTAGAGAGTTAAATAATGTAGTATTGTAAATATGTATCTTTTAATACACAATGTCATAAAATGCACGAATACCCATATATTAACCAGACTTTTTCTTAAATGGTCTCACTCTGTTGCGTAAGCTGGAGTGCAGCAGTGTCATCATGGCTCACTGCAGCCTTGACTTCCTGGGCTTGAGAGATCCTCCTACCCCAGCCTCCCAAGTAGCTGGGACTACAGGCACACACAACCAGGCCCAGGTAATTTTTTTTTTCATGGAAACAGGGTCTTGCTACATTGCCCAGGCTGGTCTCAAACTCCTGGGCTCAAGCAATCCTCCCTCCTCAGCCTCAGAAATATTTTGGTTGCAAACAGCTGTAACCACATTCAAGCTAAAGGAATTGGTTTTTTCACACATTGAGATTTAGGAACAATGCCACATCTCTCAGCACTGTTTGCATTTGCTTAGCTTCATTCTCAAGCAGGCCTTTTCCCTATGGTGCCAAGATGGCCTCTGCCATCTCCATCGATCACTTGTTCCAAGTAAAAGCAAGAGAGACCTATCTTGCCCCAATATTGGAATATTATAATCTCGTAGAGGGTCTATGATCCTAATACGATTCCATGCCTACCCTTGGACTCACAACTAGAGTAAGGAATATAAGGAGCCATGGTTGATGAGATTAGACCTGGTCAATTGCTCATGCTTGTAGTCAGAGGCAGCAGTTTCACAATTAAAAGAGGTTGTTGGATTAAAAAAAATAACAGAGTGTTACTACATTCTTTCTGTGACTTTAACAAAAAGGTAAATGGCCACTGTAGTGGATATTTTGCCCATGGGTGAGACGGAAGTAGGGCTTTGAGTGGTCATAGCAGGTAGAAAATTTTATGGAAAACAATGCCTAATAAAGAAAGAAAGATGTGGAGAAAGCTAGTGCTTTACAGAACTTCCTGGGGTGAAGGAAATCTTCCATACTTATCCAATATGGTAGCAACATATTGAGCACTTGAAATGTGGCTCATGTAACTAAAAAACTATATTTTTAGTTTTGTTTAATTTAAATATATTTACATTTAAATAGCCACAGTGCAGCCTTCCTCATGGTGACTTTGAAGAGTCAGTCTATACGTATCTTTACAATAAAGTCATTGTTCCTTTTAGTCTTTATTAGTCCTTTGAATGATATTATAATTAAACAAAAACCAAAATCCAGCTTTTGGAAAGCTACTATTCCTCATTCTTTCAGAAATTGAACAGAAAATAGCTATAGATACTATGAATATTCTTCAATATTCATTTTTTATTTCAAAAAATCTGGTAAAATGAAAGAGCATATTATAAGTAATTCAAAAATTTGATTATTCCAATGTGATTGTTTCCATTGTACCATGTTGGACAAGCACTGATACAAAAAATTTTAATATAACATGAAAATGAAATCAAACAATAAATTTGCTATAAAATGTGCTTACACTGAATTATAACATCTTTTGTAGTTTTCTTTTCAAATTAAAAATATACGACTAATTTGAATCTCGTGAAATATTATAATCCTTGTCCTGAAAAAAGCAGGCTGACCTTGGGGAAATTTTAATAGTGATAAGATTGAGATAATTGTAACCAGTTACTCTTTAATAACCATCATTTTCTAGATATGTGCTAACCACATGTACGCACATTTCCTTATCTAATTACATTTGAACTTTACAATAACACTTTATCTTAGGATCATTTCATTACAAGAGATAGTTGCCTGTCATTGAAACTAGCTTAAACAAAACAAAAGAAAGAAATCTAGTGGAAGAAATAGGACAGCTGACAGGCCTTGCCTAGGAAGCCTCCTGAATGCTGGCATGAAGGTTTGAGGTCCAGGAACTAATGTTTCACTTATTGTTCATTTGTGGCCTCCTGATGTGTCATCTCTGCTTTTACTCCACATAGTTTCTTTGTTCCCCTTATTTTCATTAAACATTCTTTCCTGTTTACTTAAACCTCTGCAGAGAGGGCAGCCTGAATTTTGAAATTCCACCTCATCTTGCAGTTCAGTCACCTCACACCAATTTACTTCCTTGCCTAGGAAGCCTCCTGAATGCTGGCATCAAGGTTTGAGGTCCAGGAACTAATGTTTCACTTATTGTTCATTTGTAGCCTCCTGATGTGTCATCTCTGCTTTTACTCCACATGGTTTCTTTGTTCCCCTTATTTTCATTAAACATTCTTTCCTGTTTACTTAAACCTCTACAGAGAGGGCAGCATCTGCAGCATCTACAATTGAAGGAGGTGATGAACCAGGAAAACCTAATGCCTTGGATCTTGTAGGTCAGAGGTCCAAGCCTGGTCCAGTCCTCTCTGCCTGGGGTACAGGGATAGGAATTTTATGCTCAAAACATGGAACCTAGAGAGTGAGGACCACATTCTTTAAGAAGTACCAATAAAAAATGGGTGAGGAATGAGCTTGGTTCAGCCAGTGAATTAGATAACATGATTCTGATTTTAAATTTGAGGAAACAGTCTCAGAGAAGTTCAAATCTTAGTCTGGCTTGTGATCAGACAGACCAAAGTATGAACCCTGACTTATCTTTCAGTATCTGTGAAACTTTTGGAAAGTTACTCACCCTTTCTGAATGTTCAATTATGTTGTTAGAAAGCGAAAATAAAATGCAACCCACATAAAAACGCTTAGCATTTACCCAACTAGAAGCATATAACCCACCTCCCACTTTTTACACCCTGCCCCACAGTCAAAGGCCAAGGGGAGAGATGGCCTTGTCTATGAATGCACTTAGACGGGCTTCAAAAGTGTGGATTACAAACCAAAGAAGGACAGAGCTGCAGAAAGCTGGGTGCCCTGCATGAGAGATTTATAGAGATTTGATGTTTGTTTTTTTACCCTTGAGAGGAAAAAAGCATCAGAAATGAAAATAAGTATATATAAGAGCAAGCTAGCAGTAACATTGATTAACCTCTGTTATTTTCTTTGCTCTGTGTAATGACATCCCTGCCTTTTCCTACAATAGGCAATGAATTTTCCATGCAAGCAAGGTCTTGTTTATTATTTTCTTTTGTTGTCATGTGAAAATCCAACAAATGACATTGTATTCCTCATGTGGAAGTAAGAAGTTTCTAGATGCTGCAAAGAGAAAAAAGAGTTTAGAGAACTTGTCAATTCAGAGTCAGGGAATCTGAAATTCACATAAATGCAGGAGGGCTACTGGGATTTTCCACCAGTGTGGTATTAAACCCATTTTATCTAGATCTTAAAATGCAGAGATAATTCAGCTTATTTCATGATTATGCATAGTAATTAATTAAAGGTAGATAAATACTTATATTAATTAAAGGTAGACAACTGACAGAAGGCAAATTGGAAAGAAAATGGTGTTTGGAGCCACAAAGATCTGGGTTCAAGTTCTACCTCAGCTACATAGAACTGTGTAACCTTGGGTATTTTGCTTAAATCATCTGAGACTCAAATTTTTCATTTCTCAAATTGAGATATTAGTATTGATCTCACAGGAGTATAGTAAGTCTTCACTTAATGGCATTGACAGGTTCTTAGAAACTGCAACTTTAGGCTGGGCGTGGTGGCTCATGCCTGTAATCCCAGCACTTTGGGAGGCCAAGGCGGGTGGATCACGAGGTCAGGAGATTAAGACCATCCTGTCTAACATGGTGAAACCCAGTCTCTACTAAAAAAAAAAATACACCAAAAAAAATAAATTAGCCGGGCGTGGTGGCGGGCGCCTGTGGTCCCAGCTACTCGGGAGGCGGAGGCAGGAGAATGGCATGAACCCGGGAGGCGGAGCTTGCAGTGAGCCGAGATCGCGCCACTGCACTCCAGCCGGGGCGACAGAGGGAGACTCTGTCTCAAAAAAAAAAAAAAAAAAAGAAACTGCAACTTTAAGTAAAATATTGTACTATATAACAAAACCAATTTTACCATATGCTAATTGATATAAATAAGAGTTAAGTTCCTATGGCATACAGTATGTCTTTTCACTTAAAGTTGCAATTTCAAATAACCTATCAATGACATTAAGTTATGACTTACTATACATGTAATGTGCCTAAGACATTATGTTTTATGTGAACGTTGAGTGATATTTGATGCCCAGAGTATGGGCCCTGGAGTCAGACTCCCTGGGTGAGCTTTGTAACTATGTGGCCTTGAGACACTTACTCCCTGTATTAGAGTCCTCTGGATAAACAGATTGTGTGTGTATGTGTGAGTGCGTGTGTGTGTGTGTGCGTGCACATGTATGTGCGCGTGCGCATATGTGTGCATATGTGTGTGTGTGTGTACACATGCATATATATAAGAAAATTTATGATAAGGAATTGGCTCATGTAATTATGGAGGCTGAGAAGTCCCAAGATGTGCAACTGACAAGCTAGAGACTTGGGAGAGCCAATGGTGTAGTTCCAGTGTGAGTCTGAGGAGCCAATGTTTCAGCTGAGTCTGAAGACAGAAGACACCAATGTCCAAGCTCAAACCGCCAGGCAGGAGGAGTTCTTTCTTATTTGCACAAGAATCAGCCTTTTTGTTCTACTTAACAGACTTTCTGGTGATTAGATGAGGGCCACTCACATTAAGAAGGACAATCTGCTTTAACTAGTCTACTGATTGCAATGTTAATCTCATCAGAAAACACCCTCATGGAAGTACCCAGAAGAATGTTTGATCAAATGTCTGTGCACCCCATGCCCAGTCAAGTAAATGCATAAAATCAACCATCACACCATGTATGAGCCTCACTTACCTCAGGTAAAAGGGCAAAATGATAAAAATAACCTTCCTAGGGAGTTATGAGAACCCAGTAAATCAACAGTTATGTATTTTACAATAGTACCTGGTATATGATAAGCACTATGTGTGGATATGTTGAACTAAATACATAAGTAAAACTGAGGAAAAGGAGCTGCCTCCCAGAGGTGTTCTCCCATCCCTGTTTGTCTCAGGGAATAACTAATTTAGTTTTTTCATCTCATTTAATGTTTGAGTTTCACATTCAGTCAATAATCTTATAAGCTATTTCTTCCCCTAAACATATTATTCTGTTCAGAAAAACTACTTGATTTCATTATAAGTAGAGTAAACAAACAAGCAAAAAAACAAAAAACCAAAAAACCCTTGTTGATTGGCATTCCAAGTGAGAAAAGCAAAAAAAAAAAAGCTGCTTGTTTTTAAAAATTAAAATATCATTGTATTGCCTATTGCCTTTTAGAAATTACATATCTCCAAATAATACAAGTGAAATGGGGAAAAATTAACATAGATTTTTTTCTCTATTATTTGGAATCGGATTTGCAGATGAGTTAACTATATTCTAAATACAGATATCACATAGGACGAAAAGGTTAAAAAAAGGTCTCTGTTCTTTTCTCCTTCCTTAAACATTATGCATCAAAATATTTACATATTTTCAAGATGTGTCTTATCAGATATTCAATCTGTATATATTCATAGTTTTAATGGACTTTCATGGATATCCTTTCCATAAGTGATGATTAAAAATCTCAGCTTAGGTGGTAGTCTGTTTTTACTACACAAGCAGAGCACCGAGTTTATTTAAATCTCCCAGGCACTTGGTCATGGATGTGGCTGAAGGTCTATGGCTCAGATGGGTTGTGTAATATCAAGGGACAGAATGGCCAATAAACACTACCTCTTCAACTGGATTGCCCAGGAGGACACGTTGGGACTCATCAAGGAAGCAACAAAACCCAGAGAGAAGAGAGAAGAGTGAGACAGGGCAGCTGCCCACCTGGGATTCGCATGGAGCCAAGGAAGGCTTCTCACCACAGGGAAAGTGTGAGTGGGCAAGAGCCCCCAGGAGCCCATACTCTTGCCATGGATCTCTGCAATCCTGGGCACAGGAGATCCCCTGACCCTCTCTCTCCAGGGCCTCCAGACTGACAGAGCGCTGTGCAGAGTCTGGGCAGAGCTGCCACTCAGGCACATATGGAGCCTCAAGGGCCTTGGGCTCCTGAGCATCCCAGGGTCAGCTGCCATAGCTCTGCCAGCAGGTGAGGCCAGGCCCTCTTGCACGCTCCCAAGATACATGCTGCTTTCACAGTGCTGAGGAGCAGACAGACTATAGGCCTTACCTTCGCCACACCTTGCCAGCCAAAGCCCACGGGCCCAGGTCCCCAGCGCAGCCAACACACCCCTGCCTGAACACTTAGGCTAGTAGTGACTCTGCACTTCCCTGGGCCAGAGCTCCCAGAGTTAACTGACAGTTCCGCCTTTTTGCTGCTGCTGCAGCCCCCACCCCTACTGCCCTGAGGCTGCAGAGGGAGTAAGTGATGAGCCTAAGGACTATCATGTGTCTCCAACGCAGTGCAGCTGCCATGCAGGAAAGCAGCCAGACTATTTCCCCTGTGGATTCCTGCCCCTGCTACTCCTCACTGTGCAGGGCCTCCCAACCTGGACCCCAGCACAGTCATCCTGCCCCCGCCTGAGCACTTCAGTCAGTGGTGGCACTGCTTTTATCTGGAGAGGAAATCCCAGAGACGACCCAAAGGCTCTCTACCATCTCAGCTGCGGGGATATTGCCCTTGCTGCCCTCGGGCTGGGGAAAGAACAAAGATCCTGACTGTTTTGCTGGTACCTCCAGCATGCTGCAGCTGTCCTACAGAGAGGAACCCAGTCTCTTTTCCCTGTGAACCCCTGACCCCCTGCTCTACACCAGGCAGGGCCCCTGGATTGGGTCTGCCATGCAGCCACCCCACCCCCAGCTGATCATTCCCATTGGCAGTAGCTTTATGTATCTCTGGGGTGGAGTTCTCAGAGGCAACTGACGATCCCTCTGACACCACTGCTACAGCGGTGCCTGCTATTGCTGCCACCAGGTTGGGAAAGAACAAAGAACCTGAGTGCCTTATTACACCTCCAGCATACCACAGGCACTCAGGTTCTTTGCTCTTTCCCAAAGAGGCCAGACTGTCTTCCCTGTAAGCCCCCACCCCCTGCTCACCACCAGGCAAGGCCTCCAACTTGGGTGTGTGACATAGCCACTCCACCCCGGGCTGATCATTTTGGTTAGCAGAGGCTCTGCATTTCTCTGGGTTGGAGCTCCAAGAGATAAGTGTAAGGCCCTCTAACATTGTCACTGCCAAGGTCCCTGCCCCTGCTGCCTGCAAGCTGGGGAGTGAACAAAGAGCCTGAGCTGAGCCCTCACTCATTCTATGAGGCCAGCATTATTCTGATACCAAAACCTGCCAGAGAAACAATGGAAAAAGAAAACTTCAGGCCAATATCCCTGATAAACATAGATGCAAAAATCCTCAACAAAAATCCAGCAGCACATCGAAAAGCTAATCTACTAAATCAAGTAGGCGTTATTCCTAGGATATAAGGTTGGTTCAACATACATAAATCCATAAATGTGATTCATTGCATAAGCAGAACTAAAAACAAAAACCACATGATCATCATAGAAAAGTCTTTCAATAACATTCAACATCTTTTCGTGTTTAAAAACCCTCAACAAACTAGGTATTGAAGGTACATAACTCAAAATAATAAGAGCCATCCGTGACAACTCACAGCCAGCATCATACTGAATGGGCAAAATCCAGAAACATTCCCCTTGAGAACTGGAACAAAACAAGGATACCCACTCTCATCACTCCTAGCCATTGTAGTACTGGAAGTCCTAGCAAGAGCAATCAGGTAAGAGAAGGAAATAAAAGGTGTCCAAATAGGAAAAGAGGAAGTCAAACTATCTCTGTTTGCAGATAATATGATTCTATACCTAGAAAATCCCAGTCTCTGACAAAAGGGTCCCAGCTCTGATAAACAACTTCAACAAAGTTCCAGGATAGAAAATCAATGTCCAAAATTCAGTAGCATTTCTATAAACCAATAACATCCAATCTGCTGGAATTTGCTGGAGGTCCACTCCAGACCCTGTTTGCCCAGGTATCACCAGCGGAGGCTGCCGGACAGCAAAGATTGCTGCCTGTTCCTTCCTCTGGAAGCTTTGTCCCAGAGGGGCACCCACCAGATGCCAACCAGAGCTCTCCTGTGTGAGGTGTCTGTCGACCCCTGCTGGGAGGTGTCTCCCAGTCAGGATGTGCAGGGGTCAGGGACTCACTTGAGAAGGCAGTGTGTCCCTTAGCAGGGCTTGAGCGCTGTGCTGGGAGATCCATTGCTCTCTTCAGAGCTGGCAGAGAGGAACGTTTAAGTCTGCTGAAGCTGTGCCTGCAGCTGCCCCTTCCCCCAGGTGCTCTGTCCCAGGGAGATGGGAGTTTTATCTATAAGCCCCTGACTAGGGCTGCTGCCTTTCTTTCAGAGATGCCCTTCCCAGAGAAGAGGAATCTAGAGAGGCAGTCTAGCTACAGTGGCTTTGCTGAGCTGCAGTGGGCTCCACCCAGTTCAAACTTCCTGGCAGCTTTGTTTACACTGTGAGGGGAAAACTGCCTACTCAAACCTCAGTGATGGCTTGAGTAGCCTTCCCCCCACCAAGCTCAAGCATCCCAGATCAACTTCAGACTGCTGTGCTGGCAGTGAAAATTTCAAGCCAGTGGATCTTAGCTTGCTGGGCTCTGTGGGGGTGGGATACTCTGAGCTAGAATACTTGGCTCCCTGGTTTCAGCCCCCTTTCCAGGGGAGTGAACGGTTCTGTTTTGCTGGCATTCTCAGGCACCAATGGGGTATGAAAAAACTCCTGCAGCTAGCTTGGTGTCTGTCCAAATGGCCACCCAGTTTTGTGCTTGAAACCCAGGGCCCTGGTGGTGCAGGCACCCGAGAGAATCTCCTGGTCTGCAGGTTGTGAAGACCATGGGAAAAGCATAGTACGTGGGCTGTAATGCACCATTCCTCATGGCACAGTCCCTCATGGCTTCCCTTGGCTAGGGGAGGGAGTTCCCCAACCCCTTGTACTTCGTGAGTGAGGTGATGCCCCACCCTACTTCAGCTCACCTTCCTTGGGCTGCACCCACTGTCTAACCAGTCCCAATGAGATGAGCTGGTTACCTCAGTTGGAAATGCAGAAATCACCCACCTTCTGCCTTCTGCGTTGATCTCACTGGGAGCTGCAGACCAGAGCTGTTCCTATTTGGCCACCTTGCCAGCCACCCTGACTTGTTTATTTTCGATGCTAACCTGTGGGTTACCAAATATTGGGAAATGGTGTGCTGAGAGGAGAATATAAAGACAAAGTGTGGATCCAGTGCAGAAAATTTTACAGCTTCCTGTGGAATAAGAAAATGTTGGAAGCTTAAGAAACTTTTAATTTACCTAATAAAGCCTTGTATTTTATAGAAGCATGAGGCCTACCCATTTTTGTTTACTCTATATTCATTCAACTACTTTTTTTTCTTTTATTATTATTATACTTTAAGTTTTAGGGTACATGTGCACAACGTGCAGGTTTGTTACATATGTATACATGTGCCATGTTGGTGTGCTGCACCCAGTAACTCATCATTTAGCATTAGGTATATCTCCTAATGCTATCCCTCCCCCATCCCCCAACCCCACAACAGTCCCCGGTGTGTGACGGTCCCCTTCCTGTGTCCATGTGTTTTCATTGTTCAGTTCCCACCTATGAGTAAGAACATGGGGTGTTTGTTTTTTTGTCCTTGCAACAGTTTGCTGAGAACAATGGTTTCCAGCTTCATCCATGTCCCTACAAAGGACATGAACTCATCATTTTTTATGGCTGCATAGTATTCCATGGTGTATATGTGCCACATTTTCTTAATCCAGTCTATCATTGTTGGACATTGGGTTGGTTCCAAGTCTTTGTTATTGTGAATAGTGCCGCAATAAACATACGTGTGTGTGTGTGTGTCTTTATAGCAGCATGATTTATAATCCTTTGGGTATATACCCAGTAATGGGATTGCTGGGTCAAATGGTATTTCTACTACTTTTTATTTTACTGTATATTCATTCAAAAAATGTGGTATGTGATGAGCCACAAAACTTAAACTTTTTCCTGAAAAAATGTAGGAAGTCATTTATTAAAGGCTTTTCAGCAGACTTGGATCAGATTTGGAGTTTATATCATTGCACATCAATATGAAGGAGGAAGCTAGAGGGAAGCATGTCTGGAGGCAGTAAGGACAGTTAACTATTTCCATAATAATTCAAATAAAAAGTGTTAAAGGCCTGGATTTAGGCCATTTCATGGGCAACGGAGAGAGAGGTGGATAGGAGAGCTGTGATAGAAATAGAATCCACAGAGCTAAGAATCTATTCCAACTACAGCCCATTTCCACCTTATAAATTTAAAGTCTAGACTGTGATACCACTCAAAGGCTGGTCTTCTTGAGTGAGTTTCCTACTTCACAGAAAATTATCAGAGTGTGTCTTTAAGAATCAAAATTTATTGACTGCCTTGAGCAATGAAAATCTTACATCAGAGGCAGAATCAAGCATGATCTCAATTGTGATGGTCAACCAGCTGGAGCTAGTAATTTTTTTGTTCTTTTCAGAAACTAATTGTGGTAGGTCCTTTGAACAGCTACTCCAAAAACCTTCACAGTGTTTGAAACAGGGTGTGGAATAGGATAAGGGTGGTGAGAAGAGGCTACTTGGAAGGTGTCTTTCCATTTTTGAGATTGGGTGACAAGGTGTGTGACGATGCTGCTCACAGAGAAAGGGCATTCAGAGGCCAGAGGAAAATCAGAAAAATTTGGGACATGTGAAATTGAAAGTACCTGAGAAACAGTCAACTGGAGCTAACATGAAAGAAATGTTCATATACAGCTTTTCAGCTTAGCAGGAAAGTCTAGTCTACATAGGTTTGTAATTCAAGCATCCAAGTATATGTGATAGTTGAAATCATGCAAGTGAGTTACGTCCAGAAATGTTCAGTGACTTCCTCATGTCTCAAACCATTATAAGAATGAAACTCAGGTCTTCTCTCTTTACCACAATTCTCAATAAGACAAAATATTAGGGCAAAATAAACCTGTGTATGAAGTGTCTGGATCTCTTCAAATTTGGAATCTGATATCAGAAATTGCTACAGCCCTTAATTGCTAACACAGATAGTCCCTCTTTTATGTTTCATAAATGTTCTGCATTTTACCCTATTTCTATTAGATTTGAATTTCACCTTTTTAGTAACTTCACTTTTGAAATGTAACCCTAATGATTTTAGATTTCATAACTAATTGGTTAACATATAGTTGGTATGATCTTTATATTATTTGTTCAGGAAAGTTTCTAAAGCATTTTTCTTTACCAAGTTTTGGAGAAACGGTGTAGAATATGGATGCGGACCACTGGCCTGCATTCTGAATCCAATCAATTTAAAGAGAGCTTCAACCACTGTAAAACTCAATGCATCTACATAAATGGAAATCAATTGAATTGATTTTTGACAGACTTGCTCCACTGCCTTCAATTCAAAATCTGCTTATACATAGTGTTCCAGAACAAAATCATTATCATGTACAACAGAAATACTGTTTTATTAAAAGCATAAAGGTTACAGTTTTGCAAAAGCTTCACTTTACATGAATTTTCAGTGAAATAAAAATGTTTTTAACCACTTATACTATAAATCTGTAATATGCTTGCACTCTGCAAGAGCTAATAAATCTATTAATCCATTGACCTGAAAAAGGTTTAAATGCCCCAAAATTATCAGCATTAATGGTTCTGATTATTTTCTCCATGAATTTGCACTGTGTACAATTATTATCCAAAGTATGTGAAGTGATGATTCTTTATCGAGCTTATATTAAACATGATACATTAAAATATATTAAATGCTAGAGTATCTGTATCATAAAATACATTAAAATACTGTACCAGAATATCTAGAAAGAAAGGACTTATGAAGTAGACCTGCATGCCCTTCTCTCTCATGGCAGAGTTTGCGTGATGCATCAAAGGAAGAAAGAAAGCATATTATCTTGTCTAATTGCCTTGTAAACATTATAATGGCAGCTCTCCTGGCAAACAAAGTATGTGACCTTGGCTAGCAAGAGAGAACTATGAAATACATATAGTAAAATATAGCTGCCTATCTAGAATCACCTGTGTAAATAGACCTGGAATCTTTAGGTTTACAGGGGATGGCTCCAAGGAAAATGTCACATAAACTATGTAACTCAGTAATTCATGACCTAAGTGGCTTCTTCTGTGCAAGATCTGTACCAGAACACATCTCATGTGAGAAGAAATGACCCAATAAGTCACATTGGGGTCCCAGAACACTTTCTGCTTCACTTGTGTCATATAACTGCTTGTGTCATTGCAATTATTAGCAAAACTTGACATTGAGTAAGTACTCTGATTCTATGATTTTCATTTACCAGTCTAATTCTTAATATTATCTTAATGCTTGCATAATATGATATCTGAAATCATCTCAGGTGCTATGAATAGATCATTTTAATTTCATTAATAATAAACCACATTTAAAAAACCCTCAATGATGGTGGTATATCAAAGGAATACAGGAGCCAACAGAAAGAACTCCCAGTGGCCAAAACTAGAACAATTTGTGCAATAAAATAAACAAAGTAGTATTGAATTATATCCCAAAGTATTAAATTATTTTTAATTCTAAATGTATATAAATAATTGCTTAAATAAATAGGGAAGAATATACAGTCCTCTAGATACATATTAGTGAAATGAAAAATTCCAGTCAAAATATAGGGCTGATCTGGGAATAACAAGAAGAGCTAATCCTCTGCATTACTCATAGCAATTTTCTTGCAATGCTTTGATAAAATCTAACAGTCACACAACTAGGTACATAAAAATGTTTGACAAAATTGAATATCCACTTATTATGAAAACTCTCAGCAAAGTACAAATAAAGGCAATTTTCTTATCCTGATAAAGCACAAACTGATTCTTAAATTGTATAGGGCATGGTAAAGGGGCAAAAATTCTAAAATAATTTTGAAAATGACAAAGTTAGAGGAATCACACTATCTGATGTTAAGACTTAAGTTACAGTAATCAAGATAGTCATGCAGGTCAATGTAACAGAATAGAGAATCCATAAACTGATGCCCACATATATGGTCAATTGATCTTTGATAAAGATCAAAGAACAGATAGAATTTTCTTTTTAATAAATGGTGCTGGAATAATTTGGCATCTTATGTGAAAAATAAACCTCTACTTATAACTCCCTCTTTATAAAAAATTAAAAATGGATTATAGACATAAATGTAAAATTATAAAACTTTACAAGATAATCTAGGAGAAAATAACCATGACTCTGATTTAGGAAAATATTTCATATATTTTGAAGCTCTGGTGTTTGGTCCATATATGTTTAAAACTGTTATGTCTTCTTGGTGAACTGATTCTATTATCATTATATAATGCCCTTCCTTGTCTCTTATAAGAGTTTTTCACTTAAAGTCTATTTTGGCTGATAGTATAGGCACCCTTCTTTCTTTTTATTACTATTTGCATAGAATATATTTTGCCGTATTTCCACTATCAACCTGTGCTTGTACTTAGGGTTAAAGTGAGTTTATTATAGACAGAATAGAGTTGGATCCTGTGTGGATTTTTTTTAAAAAAATCCATTCTGCCAATCTATATCTTTTGGCTGCAGAGTTTAATCTATTTACATTTAAAGGGAAGAACTTACTATTGGCACTCTGCTATTTGTTTTCTGTAGGTTTTATAGCTTTTTATCATTCATTTCCTATTATCACATTTTTCTGAGACTCTGAAGTACACCAGATTATAGGAGCAGAAAACAGATCAGTGGTTTCTAGAGGTTACATATCAGTAGAGAGTGCTTACAAAGGGGATTCCAGAGAGAGTTGTTTTGTGGTGATGAGACTATTCTGTGTTACTGATTGTAGTGGTAGCTACATTACTTCATGCATTTGGTAAAACTTATTGAACTATATACAAAATATAAAAGTGAATTATGCCATGTGATATTGTGATATAATAAAAATTATGTATTTGGTCTCTGTCCCTGATTCCTGAGACAGAGCTTCTAAAACCCTTGCAGATAGGGATGCTAGGAGTATCTTTTGTTCTTATATTTGGTCTTTGACCCTGGTTCTTGACACAGAGCTCCGAAGAACTTTTTAATTTCCTGAGTGATAGGAGTATCTGATACAGAGCTCCTACATCCCCGGAATATCCTGGATTATAGGAGCATCTCTTGCTGTAATGAGGTGACTCTTGGTAGGCTCCTGGATAGCCTTAGAATAGGAGCTGATTGCCATGAAAACCAGCCATGTAATTAGAGGATATGAACTTTTAGCCCCAACCCCTTATTCCCCAGGAAGAGGAAAGGGGCTGAAAATTTAGTTGATTACCAATGGCCAATGAGGTAATCAATCATTTCTACATAATGAAGCTTTCATAAAACCCCAAAATCAGTTTGGAGAGCTTCTGAATTGCTGAACACATGGAGGTACCTGAGGGTGGCATACCAGAGAGGGCACGGAAGCTCCCTACACCTTCTCTCATGCCTTCAGTGATGTCCAAGGGAGGGAATACAGTCATGGGTTCTTAGTTTCTGTTCCCAGTTGGGCCAGTAAAGCCCCTTCCTCCTTCCTCTTTTCTGCTTATCACTATAGACAGAAACTAAAAACCATGGCTTCAGGTTGCTAAAAGTCTAAAGCAAAACAAAACAGGACAACAACAACAACAACAACAACAACAACAACCTCAACAAAATAAGGCAGGTTGGACAAGCTTGCCCTATGCAGCTTCTCCACCTAACTGTTCATTACTTTCCTTAGTAACATCCTTTGTAATAAATGAGTAAATGTAAATAATGTGTTTCCCTGATTTCTGTGAGCCATTCTAGCAAATTAATTGAACCTAAACAGGGGGTAATGGGAACCTCCAATTTATAGCCAGTTGGCCAGAAGTACAGGTCACATTCTGGGACCTGCAATTGGCATCTAAAGTGAAGGGAAGTCCTGTGAGACTGTGCCCTTACTGTGTGGGATCTGACCCTATATCCAAGTAGATAGTGTCAGAATTGAATTCAATAATAGGCCAACCTGGTGGTGTCTGCTGGAGAATTCCTTTGCATGCGGGGAAAAATCCATACATATTTTGGTGACCAGAGGTGAAGTAATGTATTGAGTGGTGAGTGTGTGAGACTAAGAAAAATAGTTTGGTTTTTTTATATCTCAAATATATTATATATAAATTTAAAGACAAATTTAAAAATTGAATCATTTTAAAATGTCTAAAATTTAAAGTACATTGAGTAACCCATGAGAGTAATTTATAATGTTCATATTTGATGAAAATAGTTTCCAGTCAATTATTTTTTTCTGTTTACATTATAGAATTATATTTAGGTTAAATTTTATACATTTAAAAATTATTTCCTTGGTTTATATTCTGAAATTTTTTTCTAGTCCTTCTTAGAGCTGATAAGCATCTTTGCTGATTATCTGCTTGTGTTACTCCATCAGGCTTCCATAGCCCATCTGATTCCACCAGATTATTCAAATGAGCTCCTTATCACACTGTAGCTCAAGCCCTCAGAGATGTTCTTCTCTCCTATACAGACTTGCCACATTTTTTCAGGTGTGTAGGCATTTGCTCATGTCTTAAATGTTCATCTTTATCCATCTGCCTATTCAAATCCATCTACACAATGTATTCTAGGAAGCATATCTTGATTATACTATGCATCATTGACTTCCTCATTTAGATGAGCCTCTATAACATTCGTAGGCTGTATTGCAAAATTCAATGACAAGTATATTTATATTCTCTTGCATTTGTTTCTTGTGTTTCAAGTGTATTAGTCTTGTCTTCTCAGATAGATGGTTAAGGCCATGATTTATATTTTGATGGTTTTCACAGCACCATCTTTGGTAAAATGACTACTGAAAATATATCTTTCATCACCATAGATGCTCAGTGCCATTGGATTAATCTAGAGCTAAGGATACTTGTTTTTATCTGAATCTCAGAGGCTGGGGACAGTTGGTCTCAGAAGTGACATGAATCACTGAAAGTTAAATGTTCCTTAACAGAGGGAGGTTGGAACTCACATATTTGAAAATAGCTCACATCATATACCACAGAAACGTTATGGTTTATTTACATACATATATATGACATATCTCATATATATAAGACATTTTCCAAATGTCTTATTCTTACAGTGATAGATACTTGTTGCTTCAAAGAACATGTACACTATAGAAATATAGAAATTAGCTTAAATTAGTATTGTTACTGATTCACATCATTTTCTCATTTATTGTCATTGAAATTGGCCCCCTGGAAGAATAATCAGTCCACCATCTTGGACCAGCACTTAATTATTATTTAGCAAAATTTAATTGTTATTACCAAAATGTAGGGACAAGTAAAAATATAATTCACTATTATGATAATATTGGTAAATATTCTGATTCAAATGTTTTTCTTGCAATATGCCTCAATTTATCATCATAAAAATAAAAGATCCAAGTTTCCAGATTGAAAATATTTGATATTTGTAAACTATGTACCCAACAAAAAACAAATATCCAGAATTTATAAAGAACTTAAACAAATCAACAGAAAACCCAAATAACCTCATTAAAAAGTGGGCAAAAGGAACAGACATTTCTCAAAAGAAGACATACAAGTGGCCAAGAAGCATATGAAAAAAATGCTCAACATCGTTAATTATCAAAAAGATGCAATGAGATATTATCTCACACCAGTCAGAATGGCTCTTATTAAAAAGTCAAAAAACAACAGATATTGGCATGGCTGTAGAGAAAGGGAATACTTATAAACTGTTGGAGAGAATGTAAATTAATTTGGCTCCTGTGGAAAGCAGTTTGATGATTTCTCAGAGAACTAAAAATAAAACTACTATTTGACCCAGCAATCCCATTACTAGGTAGCTACCCAAAGAAAAATAAATTATTCTTCCAAAAAGACACCTGCACTCATATGTTTATCAAAATACTATTCACAATGGCAAAGACATGGAATCAACCTAGGTGCCCATCAACAATGGACTGGATAAAGAAAATGTGGTACATATATACGGTGGAATACTGCACAGCCATAAAAAGAACAAAATCATGTCCTTTGCAGCAACATGAATGCAGCTGGGGACCACTTCCTAAGCAAATTAAAGCAGAAACAGAAAAACAAACACTGCATATTCTCACTTATAAGTGGGAGCTAAACACTGGAAAATATAGATAGGAACAGTAGACACCGGGGACTCCAAAAATAGGGTGGGAGAAAAAGCAGCAGGGTTTGAATACTACCAATTAGGTACTATGTTTAGTATTGGGTAAGGGAATCAATAGAAGCCCAAACCTTAGCACCATGCAATACACCCATGTAACAAACCCGCACATGTAGCCCCTGAATCTGAAATAAAAGATTTTTAAGAGTAAGAAATAAAATTATTTGAAGGAAACTGACCTATACATTTCTTTACTTGCCTTAAATATCTCTTCTTTGAGGAATCTGATATTTTTTGCGTATAAGTGCTCTTCAGCAATTAGTTGAAAATACAAAACCACATAGTTTGCATGATATATCAATTTGTGTCACTTTTTTTTCAATTCTTTGCAAATAAGCACTCCCCAAATTATTAGAAATCTCAGAAGGAAAATTAATTTATTGCTGCAGCATATATTAGGCAAAGTGGAGAAGTGGAGTATTCCAACTGAACTAAAAAGTATATCAAACCAATTTCTAGCTCCCACTGAAACATTAAAAGAATTAAACATTACAACTTACTACTGTCAATGTAATTTTGTTCACTTCCACTTGTTTTTCTGCAGTTTTTTCAAAAATTTTAACACTGAAAACATTATAAAAATCATATAACTAATTGTATGTTGGTTAAAATATGTTTTATCATAATAACTACTTTCACGTACTAATGTTTGATATGGTTTGGCTCTGTGTCTCCACCCAAGTCTCATATCGAATTGTAATCCACAATGTTGGAGGAGGTGATTGAATCATGGGAGCAGACTTCCCTCTTGCTATTGCTATTCTCATTATAGTGAGTTCTCAAGAGACCTGATGGTTGTAAAAGTGTATAGCACCTCCCAGCTCTCTCTTTCCTACCAGTCATGTGAAGATGTGCCTGTTTCCCCTTTGCATTTTGCCATGATTTTAAGTTTCCTGAGGCCTCCCCAGCAATGCCTCCTGTACAGCCTGTGGAACTGTGAGTCAATGAAACCTCTTTTCTTCATATATTACCAAGTCGTAGGCATGTGTTTATAGCAGTGTGAGAACAGACTAATACAATATTATTATTTCCTCTTGAATTGTGCATTGTCATATTAAAAATTTCAAGCATTGTTCTAGGTGCTGGCAGCAGTGAATTAAACCAAATCCCTGTGCTAAATCCATTTATATTTGATGGGGGAGAGAGAATGCTTGCCAATCTTTCTTCCTAGGTACGTGGCCCTCTTATTCTTGATGCTCTTGTGAACATGTGATGTGGCTCTTTCACTGAGAAATCTCCATGGGGAAGAACTGGGTATTACATAAGGCACTTGTAACATCAGTACAATCTAGGAAAAAGAAATCTTAAGATTTGTTTTAGATTTGAATCCTAAAATTTCCAAAGACATTCTTCTATATTGTGAGTTGTTAGAGTTCTTTAAATTGCACTTTTGACTATAGAAAGTGGATTGCCATGTTAAATTAAAACAAAAATAAAAGATCAGCAATAAATAAACTGAAACTGATTACAACATTTTATTATAGTTGTATTTTTCTGGGAAAGGCAGAATGAACATCGGATCCCCCAAAGGGCCCATTATCTAAAGTGTATAAGGGAGCACTTTTATTGTCTCACATAGTTCAAGTGGAGATATTGGCAATTCCAAATTCATATGTAAAGCCCAGAGTCAGTCTCATACCAAGGTCTGCTCTTAACATGGCAGAGATACTCCATATGCCAGGGTTACTTTGATTTAATACCAGCTCATCATTCTTTTGACTTTTCCAGATGGCAGACTTTTAGCATAGATATTTTTTCTAGATATCTACAATTGTAGCTACATGGAGTAAAGTGCAATTAACTGAAATTACTAGCAATTTTGTCTTTCTGATTTAAAGGCATTTTGTTTATTCTTTTTAAGTACTCCAGGCCCCTGCTCACACTCATTTGTTGAATTCAGTAACTAACCAACTCTTCTGAAAATGGGAATATAAAATTGGAATTCCTCAAAGGTTATGTAAAATAATGTATGAAAAACCTTGTACCACAGAATTTGGCTGTTGACATGCCTTTAATAAATTTTGGGTGTATCTGAGCACATCACTTCATAGTAAGAACATTTCTATTTACAAGCAGTAATGTATCAAGGCTAAAGTTACAAATTTGGTCTATGGTATAAGTCTCATAAAGTTTTTGCCATGTTGAATTTTTTTAAATGATGTTGGTTTTGTCAGTTCATGATAGTTTATTTTTTAAATGTTTTACCAAAATGGTCAAAATATCTTACATTTAAATGTTTATTCTGTTATAAATAGTAGACTTATGGATTTCTTAAATATTTGTTGTAAGCATCTAGTGAGGCAGTCGTAATCCCACTAACTATATACAAACCAAAAAGCCCTTTTTATGTTTAAAACACACACGCTGTGAAGGAAGTTATTCCAAAAACTCCAGACTGTGAACAGACATTAACCTTCTACTTTGACAACATCTAATTTTCCTGAAGAACAATTAAAACCCAGGGAGCCTCAATTAGAAGCACTTTCACTTTGGTAATAAAGGCCAAGTTTTAATGTTTAGGTTTTAGTTGCATTCATTTTTCATACCAATGAACTGCATCATGCTCTTCCTTCAGCACACAAGCTGCAACCAGGCCACAATTTTATCATTTTCATCAGGGCCCAAACATATGCCATCTCTACTCAAAGCCCTGCTAATTCCTGGAGGTTTCTTCAGAGAGCTGAGTTGAGGAGAGAATTATTCAGCAAAGGTAACTAACATGGATGCTAATGTATATAATCTGGCTGAGAAATCAGCTTTTCTTCAACAGCTAACTGTGCCTTATTCTTTCTGGTCACTTTCTCCAAGAGGAGCACTGGACTCTGCTAGTGGATCTAAAGTTTTCCCTAGTGTATTTTCCAGCCATATTCTAGAGATGTGCCCCTTCTCCTGAACTGTGTGGTGTGGTGAAGGTGGGGACATGATGAGGACTTAGCTCTCAGAGTTAGCAATGCTGCATGCATCCAGGATCTGCTACTCACTGGGGGACCTTCTACAAGTCACTCAGCCTCTCTGGTCCTGTTTCATTATCTATACAATGAGGAACCCTGTCTACATTCTCTCTAACTATCATATAGCTCCAAAGTTTCTATGAAGCCCAGATGTTCCACTCAAGGAATTTAGTATCTTTACACCTTCATTTTCAAGAAAAAATGAAGCTTCTCCTCCCAAAATATTAGAAACCAGTGCTAAAAGTCTAGAATATTTTAGTGTCTATGAATTTTAAAATCCTGTTTTAATTACAAAATAATAATCAGAAGAGTAGGAAGGAGACAAGTTAATAAACAAGCAAAAGCTTTTTCCCTAACAAATAATCAGCCAAGGAAGAGATGAACATAAGAATTGACATAGTTAATTCTCCTAGAATGAATATAGTGCAGGAGTTACTCCATGATATAGAAAATAAGGTATAACCCCAAGCTGTCATTTGAGGACCAATAAGTCATTGAATGACACTTTGATTCCTAGATGCAAATATTTTAAAGACTTTTTTATTAATACAAAATTGTGGATTGAGGCATCACTGAGAATCCCAAGTAATGAGCATCCACAGCCATGTCTCTCTCAATATGCACCATGCGGGTCTGGGTCCTTCTCAGGGTCCAGGCAGGGTATACTATTTATGCTCCCCTATGTCTGCTCTTCTTCTGCAGGAGGCATTTTTCCCACCTTCATAGCTGTCTCCGTTCTCTTCTACTTTACAGTTTACAGGAAAGCTACTTGCTGTAAGTCAGCCTGTTTTAGCCCTTGAGATGCAAAGAGCTTTGCATGTGAAGCTCTATATGCAAAGCTATGGAATGTGGCACTCCATTTCTCTGTCAGTAAAATCTATCTTGAAAGTCTTTTGTTCAGGACTCAGAAATATGATTTTACAAAATAAAAGTAGAACACTGACTTTAATGGAATAAAATAATATACCAGAAAAAAAAACTCTCTCTACATTTTATCCCTTTTGCACAAGTAATGCCCAGTGGAGTCAGTCCCCTGCCCCAAGGCCTCACTGATAACTCTTTTCCCCCATTAAGCTTAGCCTTCCTTTCTAAGAAATATCCTCTCCTTAAGCCTAAATCTGAATGCTATTTCAACCAGATTTTACTTTGGTAAAAATTATACCAACAGAGATCCGAGTGCCATTCTCCTCCAAAGTACCACAAAATCCAAGGATAACAAGGAGTGCTTACTACGTGACAGAGGAAGTACTAAGTTCTCTGCTTGTATTGACTCATGTAACCCTCTCAAAAGCCCTATGTGTTAAGTTTCCCATTTAATGAATGGAAAACTGAGTCCTAGAAAGATTAATTGGCTACCTAAGAGCATACAGTTAGAAAGGGTGGATCTGGGATTTCACCAGATGCACATGTGGCTTTGTGAAATCTGACAGGGATGTCAATATCCCGACAGGTAAAGTGAGGTTATAATTTTCTCTTATTTTCTATTCTTTTTCTAAAAATCATGTGCTCAAATCTTACAGGACTGTGTACTCAAGAGGCTAGCTATTATTCTCCACTGCTTTTTAAGCAGCAAAATCTTTTTCATTAAATGACATCTTAAGTAAAAGCTTAATATATACAACATGTCAAACAGGGGTTGCTGTATTAGAGGTGAGGTATGGATGTGCTGGCTGCAGGTGAGGGCAAAGGGCAAAGGGCAAAAGGGCAAAGGGCAAAGCCCGAGTTACCTTCTTCAAGGCAACTCTGCCACAACTTGAAAACATCTTAGGCCTCAGTTTGAAATGCTTCTCCTACTTTCAGGAGTCTTCAGCATCAAAATTTCTCCCAGATAACCTGACAAAACTGTAGAACATCAGACCTGGAATGACTGAAAGACCACCGGGCTCAGTGTTTACCTGAGGTGGGCAAGTGGCTGAGCAGCTCAGGAGTGGGCCCCCTTAGTCTTGTCCCATCTTACTTTGTACTACACTGTTCTTTAGAGAAAGCTTCCTTTTGGAGACCAACCAGGACTCCTTAGAAGCAGAGGTGACAAAGCAAGCTTTCTAAATGATTTGGGGGAAAAGACAAGTCTTCCTTTCACATTTTTGGAAGGAAATACTTTTAATAAGGCAGGGATTCTCCAATGAACTGGTCTAAACCACTGCTTGCGGCCTCATGCCTGGCCTGCTTCACCCACTCAACAGAATCACCTCGTCTCTGAAGGTGGTTGTGTTTGAAACACGTGCTTTATGGAGCAGCTGCTTACAGGCTTAAAAGGGAATCAGAGGTGTCGGTTCAATCAATCTGCCCCCCTGTAAGCTTCATGAGGACAATGACTCTGTCTCCCTGATGCACGTGAACCTAGCACCGGCACCCTGGAGCAGAGCAAGTGCTCAATACTGATCGTGTTTGCTTAATTGATAAGCCATTAGTGTGCGCTCTAATAAACTGCTTTAGAAGAATGCTTTAGGAGTTGGAAGTATAGATCTGCCTAACATACACTTAGAAAAAATTAGGCAGATCTTTTAAATGCTTACATTTTAGTAAGGAAAACAATTGATCATTAGGGTGAACGCTGCATCATTATTTTACAATCTACAAAGTAACAGGAAAGTGTACAGATTTGGCAAACCACAGAATTAACCATTGTATCTGACTTACATTACTCATTTGCTCATGGATGAGATTCTAACAGAGATGCATTTGGCATTTTCACAAATGCTCTGCGTTTCAAAGAGTAGATCAGCTAATTTTGCGCTGAAACCCTTAAACTTAATGGGGACAATGTATCTCACCTCAAATCTTCAATCAGATGTGCTGATCAAACCCACATGAAGCACATTTATTCTTGGAAAATATTTTCAGTTTTACTATTTACTATTGTAATTCCCATTCATAAAATAGCCAGCATTTGCCATTATATTTTACAGAGACATCTTTAACAACTTTTTACAAGAATGACTGCAATATTTTAGGTTATCAATAAACTGGTGTGGAAAATGCAGCATTCTTAAAAGTTAGTCATGGCACTAGTGCATTAATTATACATTAGAACAATTAGCCTTAAAGAGATTATAGATTTATAAATTGTAAATTATGCCAAGTATTTTGAAATTAGGTACCTGTGAGTTATGACCCTGTGTTTTGAAAGAACAACTTGTAACTATATTGCTGATATCTTGATTATAATATTTTATGCCAACATTATGTTAAAATATAATATCCCATTATAAAAGTTCCAGAGACAAGCCACAATATGTAAATATTTCTGTATTTTAATTTACAGAGCTTATTTTTTCATTTGCCCTGATAACTGAATTAACATTGTCAAGGGAAATTCATATGAATCAAAAAATGCAATAAATTAGACCCTTAAAATAATTCATAGTTCATGAGTTGCCCATTTTAAGGTCAAAGTTTTTAGCAAAAGCTCACAACTCTTATGGCACTATCTTTTAGGTACAGTTTAAAACTTTGAATATGCTTTGTTTTCAAGTGTTTATGAATAATTTCTTCAATAATAAAAAAAATCATATACTTTGAAGAAAGGGCCTATCTCATTCTTCTTGCCTGGCCACATGGTCTCATGGGTACAATTCAATATTTTAATAATTTCTACTATTCCTGAGATAGTCAAACAATTTCTCATCATCATCTCACCATCACAATCTTAATGACAAGTCTCAGTTTCTGAGTGTCAGCCAGAGAGCAGATACCAGGAATTGTGCTCTAATCCTCATAACAAAACTTCAAGATCTCTCGGCAAAGAAAAGTCAAACCAAGATTCAAAACCATGGTTGTGGATTCCAAAGCTGAACCCTTTCTGGCCATGATGCCTCCTTTAGCCAAGTGGTAATTCAACAGTTAGCTTTATAATATGTCACAGATAGATGATCCATTAAATAGTTTCTAACACTGTTCTGATTCATCTCTTTTACAATATATTGAGAATAATAGCATTTCCACAAAGGTTATTTCAAATGAAAAGACATTTACTATCTTTGTGCTATCATTTACCCTAAAGAACCTATATTTTTCCAATAATGTAGTTTCCACTCCTGGGAAAGCACAGCTCTTTTATACAAATGGCATGAAATCAGAGGGATGCTGTGCAAATGCTGTGCTTCTCCAAAATGAATTTTTAAGATTGACCCCAAAACTCATCTTCTCCTTTCAATTTACGTAATATCTCTTACAAAACTGCCAAAACCATATTTCAAATTTAAAAAGTCTTGGACAAAGGGAAAAATGCTCTGAAATATCAAATTACATGTACTTTATTTCTTTCACTGTGACGACTCCAAAATATAACCTCAGCTTCAGCTATGATTTCTCTTAAAAATTCTATTAAAATGCAAAGAAATAGTTGGTTGTAGGTGGCAGAGCCTTCTGAGATCCCTCTGGCAGTTTGAAAATATGCCCTTAAGTTCTTTAACACTTATTTAAAAATAGAGTCTAATTTCCCTCTCTTTGAATATGAGCCAGATTTACTGGCTCACTTCTAATGACTGTAATATGGTAGAAATGACACCATGTGACTTCCTCAGCTCAGTTAGGAAAGGCCAGACACCTATGCCTGGCTCCCTTCTGCTCTCCTGGTACACTCACCATTGGATCCATCTACTATGCTGAGAGGAAGCTGAAGAGCCATATGGAAATCCAACAGCTAGTATCAACCACTAGATGTGTGAGTGGATGAGCCTGCAGATGATCCTCGCCCCTGGTCTTTGAGCCATCCCCAAACCATGCGGAGTTATTGCATATTCATAAACAAAATAAATGCTGTCATTTTTTAAGCCACTAAATTTTGGGTGGTTGTTCTGTGGAAATAGATAGTCAGAGCAAGCCCATTCAACCATTTGTTTTGGGGTTCCAAATAGAAAGCATCTTGAATAACGTAGATTAAATAACAGTAAATGCAAATGCAGACACCAAACATATCCTAGAGGAATCTTGGAGAACTTTAGTCTTGCTGCTTTTTATTTTTACATCTCATCAGCAGTACTGACGTTTCATCAGGATCAATGGAGAATTAACAATGGAGTTAATATTTTTTCCCTTTATTAGTTTGGGGAAAAGGTAGATCTCATAATCTGGTGTACTCCTTTTGGAAGCTTTTCATATTATCCTATCCTTTATCACAGGCTCCTCACATTCAGCATGTCCTAAACCAAATATTTTTTCTCCTACCCATTGACTCCTCCCCCTATGATTCTCATCATTATCAATGGAATTTGACTTAGAAATCTATTCCTTTCTCTTCTCCTTCCCTATAGTCAATCATTAAATCTTGTAGATATTATCTCCTATCACTGATCATTTGATATAACTCACCAAGTTTCACTAATAATAATCAAAGTGGTAATACATTTGACAAACTCCAAAAAAAGATAATTTTTTTCTTTTTCTTTTTATATGGGGTCTCGCTCTATCTCTCAGTCTGGAGTGCAATGGCATGATCTTGGCTCATTGCAACTTCTGCCTCTGGGGTTCAAGCGATTCTCCTGACTCAGCATCCCAAGCAGCTGGGACTACAGGCATGCGCCATCACGCCCGGCTAATGTTTTTCGTACTTTTACTAGAGACAGGGTTTCACTATATTGGCTAGGCTGGTCTCAAATTCCTGACCTCAAGCAATCTGCCAGTCTCAGCCTCCCAAAGTGCTGGATTACAGCTGTGAGCCACCATGCCAAGCCAAAGAAAGATAGATTTTTAAAATGTTTCTAATAATAGAGAAAGTAAAGATGCTACGTTAGAACACATTATCTGTTCCCCTTCCCGAAACAGCGAATTATTGTTTCGGTTTGTGAAAATATCCAAATGCACAGTACATAGAAAACTGCAATGACTTCCTTTAATGTGTACTCATAGAAACTCAAGATCAGGAGTGACTTCTCCAAGACCCCACATTCGCCTGCTTCCTTTGCGCCCCTCTCAGGTGCATATTTTCTGTTTTTTTTTTTTTTTTTCATAACTCTTTTCAGGCATGGTCCCTCTGTTTATATTTTCAAAGACGCTTAGCCAGGTTAATATCCTGTCAGTCTTTTCACACACTAGAAGTTAGCCTGTTCATATACGGGCCAATGGATCAGAAAATCAGGGAAGAATCCAAGGAAATCAAATCACCATGTGTAGTTAATAAACTCGTATTTATTGCTTATCTATCAGCAGATGCTTCTAAAAACATCCATGCCCAGGCCCCACCACAGTCCCATTAAATTAGTGTCTGGGGGAAGGGCTCAGGCCTCAGTATGTCCAGAGCTCTCCTGGTGATGCCAGTGAGCAGCCAGGGCCGAGAACCACTAACCAGGGTGTGCCTACTATTACGAAGGTGTTTTCAGAGATACACAGAAAGCACCTCAGATAAATTCTGTAAACATCTCTGTAATTGAAAAAAGTTATAATATGTGAGAGGGAGAACACTAATTCAACTCATTTTTTACTAACTGGACCAATTATTTTACCAAAACAAGTGTATATTGTAGGCTTTGTCGTAAGGTTTCTGTATTGAAAGAATGTAGAGCATCTGTGAGACGGAATGTGTTTTGGGTTTTGGTGGGTGTGGAGTCTAACCTAACCAATATTTTGAGTAAAATGTTAGAGAATGGAGACACTGATCTTTGTTTAAATCTTATTTTCTCCATTCATTGATGTGCTGGAGATAACAAGCCACAGCTGATGAGGACCTAATATTGCCCTCGTGAGCACAGACCTTCTGCTGTTTTCTACAACAAAGAAAACAGTATCTCTGCATCATTGTTCAGGCTTCCAGCAGAAAAGGTGCAGGCATGAGTTCAGAGAAGCACTACTAGTGAAGCTGGGGCGCCCCACAGCGCCCCCCGACAGAGGGGTGAGATGATTTGTGGATGCTCTACACTGCGTGACTAAAACATTTGGAGGCTCGCTATTACTTTGCCTTTCATTCCCTTGTAGGAAACTATAGATTCAAATGGGTTGGTATGGCTGGTTAATTTTAATTTATAACTCTATGTTTATTTAAAAATTGGATAAAATTCATGCTGACTGTATTTTATTATATACAAACATATCCATGCTTACTTCCATTTATCCATACAACAAATTCTACTCATAGTATCTATTTAACTCGTACTATTAGAAATGATGAAATAAAATTGTTACTTAAATTTTATTTAAATCTAATAAGATATATTCAGTATTGTTTAGCTCATAATTGTATAGAAATGAATGTATACATTTATATATTTTTTCTTGAATAATCAAGAGGAAAGACATTCTCTGCTATAATATGAAGTGTCAAAGGTGATTGTTGCACCAGGCACGGTGTGGCTCACACCTGTAATCCCAGCACTTCAGGAGGCCGAGGTGGGCGGATCATTGAGATCTGGAGTTGGAGACCACCAGCCTGACGAACATGGTGAAACCCCATCTCTACTAAAAATACAAAAATATTAGCTGGGCGTGGTGGTGCACTCCTGTAATCCCAGCTACTCGGGAGGCTGAGGCAGGAGAATCGCTTGAACCTAGGAGGTGGAGGTTGCAGTGAGCCGAGATCGCACCACTGCACTCCAGCCTGGGCAACAGAGTGAGACTCTGTCTCAAAAAAAAAAAAAAAAAAGATTTCGTATAATGGGCAGCTGCTTTTACCTGGAACGCAATAAATCCTCACATACTTTCTGAAAACTGACTTTGAGATTCTGTCTTAAAAAAAAAAGGTGATTGTTGGGGATATAAATAGTCTATTTGTTCCTATAAAAAAAAATCTTTCGTAAATCCCCTGGCATATAGGAAAGGTAGAGGAAATGCTGGTGTACCAGGCCTCATGGGTAACTCTCCCATTTCCTCAGGGTGCTCCACCGCCAATACCCTCTCGGAGAGCCATGAGCGCAATGCTGACTCCCGTTCTGCCCTCGCTGGCCCCCGTGCCAGATCTCCATGCGGCTTCTGGTTGTTTCCATTGCCCGTTCTGATGTGGGAAGTTGCTTATTTCCAACATGGAGGGAAAAAAAGCCCTTATAGCCCCACTATACATTAGGCTTTAATTAGCAATTACCACCCTAATGAAAAGAATCAGCAACACTTTTTACAATGCCCTGAGGTGTTGTTGGTGAGAATTTTTCTTTTAGACTACTACCACAAATACAACTTTTTGACTCAGAGATGTAGTGGTTTTAGAATTTAAGATTTGACTGCCATGCAGTTGATTATCAAATGTACTTACTATATTTAAACACAATCTCAAATTCTGTTTTGTTTTGTTTTGTTTTGAGACCGAGTCTCACTCTGTGGCCCAGGCTGGAGGAGTGCAGTGGCGCTATCTTGGCTCACAGCAACCTCCATCTCCCAGGTTCAAGCGATTCTCCTGCCTCAGCCTCCCAAGTAGCTGGGATTACAGGCGTGAGCCACCATGCCCGGTCCACAATCCCAAATTCTTACTTGGGATATTATATTCAAAGAAATATAAAGTGGCCGAGCACGGTGGCTCACGCCTGTAATCCCAGCACTCTGGGAGGCTGAGGTGGGCCAATCATGAGGTCAGGAGTTCGAGACCATCCTGACCAACATGGTGAAACTCCATCTCTACTAAAAACACAAAAATTATCCGGGCGTGGTGACACATGCCTGTAATCCCAGCTACTCAGGAGGCTGAGGCAGGAGAATCACTTGAACCGGGAGGCAGAGGTTGCAGTGAGCTTCGACTGTGCCACTGCACCCCAGCCTGGGCGACAGAGCGAGACTGCATCTCAAAAAAAGAAAAAAAAAAGAAAGAAGAAATATAAAGTGATACCTTGTTAAGTAATATTTCCATTATAGTTTCTGTCTGCAACTACATGAAGCCCTCTGTGCCCTTGCAGTAATGGCATCTAAATCCAGCAAACAGAGTCGCATCTTCTATTACCACCATTTCCCCGATGGATTCTTCCAGGGAATGGAGGCACAAGTCAGCTTCATGCCTGGCTGCATATGGAAGAAAGCAATTTTCATAAATCCTCAGCTCCATACAATGGGAAAAGCTCATTTAGTTTCTGAGGTAAATTAATATTTTTTGTCTCACACTTTTTTCTATTTTCTTTTGTTTTTATAATTATCATACAGTAAAATTGACCTTTTTGTGGTGCACATTTCTATAAATTCTAAGACATATATATAACGATCACCACAATAAGATACATTTCTATCACCCTAAAAAAATTCCCACATGCTGCCTCTTTATCAAAGCCTCCCTTATGCCACCAAGCACTGGCAATCACCGATCTATTTTCTATCCCTATAGTTTTATCTTTTGAGAATGTCATATAATGGAATCAATACAGTATGAACTTTTTGAATGACTTTGTTCACTCACCATAACGCCACTGAGATTTATCCAAGTTGTTGCATGAGTCGATAGTTTCAAGAAAATGTCTACTATTTTCCTGCCAAGGGACAGGTTTCCTTGGGCACATCCTAGACTCAAAGAAATCATTAAAAAATTCAATATCTTATTATCTTTATGTCAACTAGATTACCAGACAGAATTTTCTTTGTTAAAGGAATTTCTATTCTTTGTTTCTTAAAGTAACTAATTTTGGCTAAAAAAAAAAAAAAAAAAATCTGCTCCTGGATTTCACAGGATGAAATCTGGCTTAAATGCACTAAATCACCTTGTGACTCCTTAGTTCTCATGACTTCTAAGAGCAAAAGACATTTTCCCTACTGCATGCAGCCAACTCTACAAATATTAAAATCTAGAACCTAATGTAGTGGAATAAATTCATATGAAAGCTACAGAATGCACTGAACTTTCAGCTAATGCAGAGTTCAAATAAGAATTCCCTCTTTAATGTCATAATACAAAACGTTCACATCAGTTAAGTATTGATTACAAACATCTATTTTAACAATTTGGTCCCTGGAAACTACCTTACAGCATGGTTCTTGCAAATGTTACTTCAAATTAAAGTTAAATGTTAAATATTATATATATGGAGAAAGAGAGATTCTTTTTTCAGAAAAATACCCTTCAAACTAATTTTAATGCGAACACCACATTTTAACCAAAAAAATTATCTTCAGTTTTCCATTTATTTGGCATATATGGCAGACAAAAAAACAATAAATTTATTTTTCTAAAGACAGGTATGTTATATGTGTCATGTGTATCGTATGTTAAGTTGATTTTAATAAGTCTGTGTAAAGAAATTTATTGAGATAAGCATTTGGTGAGCATGTGTTTCTTCTTAACTGGTCACTTTCTGTTGGTAAGCGGGTATCTAACTGCAAACGACAACTTTACTATGCAAGGCACCAACCTCACTTGGGAGCTTGTTTGAAATGCAGACTTCCCTACTTACACCTACGTTGACTTGGAATCTGCATTTAACATGATCATAAGGATCTTGCACATTACAATTTGAGAAGCACTGCCCTAAAACATCTTACGAATAAAACCGGAACACTTTCACTGCAAATGTGCTATTTACATTAGCATGACTACTGTGGAAAAAAATCCACTAAGCTTGAATTTTGAACTAGTTGAAAGCAGATTGTGATAATGTAAGACTGTTTTGAGAAATGCAAGCACTAACTATCCCTTAGCAAATATAAAGATGCCACATGTGGTCTAATGTAATATTAGACCTTCCGTCTTCTCAGGAGGCAGAGCCATTATGTTCCAACCTGAGCCTCTGAGCTACCATTACTTGTTTCTATTCTTAGCCTTCATGAATACAGGTCACTTATTGGGATTATACTATTCTAACAAAAAAAAAATGTGTTTTCCAATGGGAACTACAACAAAAATAGATGAATTCCTTAAGAAACAAATTTTTATTCCTAAACAAATATAATCATATTTGTAAGACATAAGAATAAATGAAAAAAATTAGTAATTAGGTAAAGAGTACATTTATTTTCAAATTCTGTAGTTCCCCTCAAGATACCACTATTGACGTGGTTGCAAAGCATTATTTGCAATTGTTATGTCAAAGTCGTGTTGTGTCTAAAGAAAGACTACCTGACTCTTGTTTCCAAATTGTTCCACTTATACAATTTGTGCTTTTCCTAGTGTCAAAGGCTTTCCAGCCAGAATGATTCCATCTTGAGTGAAGGCTAAGAAAATAAGGCTGGGACTTGCTGGGCTGCATTCATAGAAAGTTAGGCATTCCTAGCCTCTAGATGTTTACTGCTAAGAGAACAGATTGATAATGTTTACTAAACAGGCCCAGACTTGGGATTGTCTTGATATCCTGATATCTTGAGAACAGAAGCATTCCTAATTTTGCTTTAAAGATAATAATATCGATCCTTGCAAAACATAAGAAAATTAATCCTTTATCACAAACCCTTGTAGCATAGCACATCTTCCCATGATCTTTATTTATCCTATATATAAACAAGCGTTGTACCTAGGGTGGACGCGTTCCTCTTCTTCCTTTTGGGAACTCCTGGCTCTGTCTATGGAGTAGCTGTTCTTTCGCCACTTTACTTTCTTAATAAATTTGCTTTTGCTTTGCACCGTGGACTGGCCCTGAATTCTTTCTTTCACGAGATCCAAGAACCCTCTCTTGGGGTCTGTATAGGGACCCCTTTCTTGTAACACTAGCAAGGAAGTCCCTTCCAGAGAGCTCTCTCTGGTTTAGCAGCACACTTATATTGGTGCAGGATGGGAACATTCCATAAAGACATATTCACATTTGTTCAAAGTCTTCTGCATCAACTACCCCCAGACTTTGATGTATTCTGCCTTTAAAATCACGCTATGTCCCAGTCACTTTTTGTTGCCTTCCCTTCCAATCCAGTTGAGGAATCCCTCCGGGAAAGTAAAATCTGTCTACTTGTGCTCTCCGTCCACCTCCTGGCATCTCCTGTCAACTATTTCCCTACTCTCTTGTTCTTTCAATAATTCCCATCCTACTGGAACTTTCTATCAACGTTTCAAATTGTTATCTAAATGTCACTTATCTGAAAACAAATAAATCGCCTTTCTTTTTCTTTCTTTTTTTTTTTTTTTTTTGAGACGGAGTCTCGCTCTGTCGCCCAGGCCGGACTGCGGACTGCAGTGGCGCAATCTCGGCTCACTGCAAGCTCCGCTTCCCGGGTTCACGCCATTCTCCTGCCTCAGCCTCCCGAGTAGCTGGGACTACAGGCGCCCGCCACCGCGCCCGGCTAACGCCTTTCATGACTCTATTTCAAACTTTTTTTTTTTTTTTTTGAGACGGTCGGAGTCTTGCTCAGTCACCCAGGCTGGAGTGCAGTGGTGTGATCGTGGCTCACTGCAAGCTCCGCCTCCTGGGTTCACGGCATTCTCCTGCCTCAGCCTCCGGAGTAGCTGGGACTACAGGCACCTGCCACCACGCCCGGCTAATTTTTCTTTTTTTTTTTTTTTTTGTATTTTTAGTAGAGACGGGGTTTCACCGTGTTAGTCAGGATGGTCTCAATCTCCTGACCTCGTGATCCACCCACCTCGGCCTCCCAAAGTGCTGGGATTACAGGCGTGAACCACTGCACCCAGCCGACCCTATTTCAATCTTTTTAGCTTTCACTGAATGTTTCTCTACCTGTCCGTGAATGAATGGTCTCCCTTTATTTTCCATTTGTCTTTCACATATTCCAACTTAACATTTATTTCCACAACTGACATTTATTTGATAAAGGTCCTTTGAATACATTTTAGCTCTAATATGCCTACTCTGTCTTTAATGTGTGACAATTTCACTAATGGAAATACAATCATATGTGCCCTGTAAATCTCCCAAGTTGTCTCAATTCTCCAAAGAATTACATCATGTCTGTCCACACCCACCAAACAGAAAACTGAAAAGTGACCAGTTCAGCTTCAGGCTAGTGTTTTTTCATTCCACCAAAGCCACATTATATTTAATTAACGAAACTAATGCCTATAAAGTTAACAATAAAGGAATATAACACATATACCTGAATATACCTCTATTCAAAATTATTTTCCAAGAATGAATAAATGTTCACATTTTATTAGAGAAAATGAAACAATCATAATATCTGAGATTTATTTCAAAACTCTTTTTTTTACTGACACATGTTCTTGTCCACAGGCCAATGGAAACAGACATGTGTAGCATTATTTAGATGATCAACTGCATTAATTCTTCATATATTAGTCATTGACAATAGACCTACAAAGAGAGTATTTCTCATCCTTGATATAAATTACAGTTTTCATCATTGAATTTACTTACTCAACAGTTTTTAGACACATGTGCTTGTGGACTTATATGGAATTCCTGAGGTTGAACTTGCTGTGTGATAAATCTTCTAGCTTTAAATACAGAGTCTGTTTAAACAGGGTGAGTTGTAAATTATCTGACAAGGAAATGGATTTTATGTGGAAAATGCACATTTTCTCACAGGCAGGGCCCATGAAACTCATGGTTTGAATATTTTCAGATAGCAGAGCCTTTGACAAGTAAAAGAAACAAGACTATTGTAAACACTGAGCTTATTCGAAAAGCATTTTTTTAAAATTTCCAAGCTTATCAGATTATGTCTATATAAAACTAACATTTTTGTGAATTTCCAAGTATGTATTTGGCTCATTCATTGTTTCTTTTTGTCCACAGATGTACACATTTTTATAATGATTACAACAAAATAATTTAAACCATCCAGTAGGTGAAGCATTCCCCTTTTCCCAAGACAGTTGGATAAAATTGAATCAAAATTTAATTCCATGTCTGAAGGAAGTTTAACACCCTCCTCGGAAGTCTTGAAGCCTCCCAGGTACGACTGAGTAAAGCAGATTGCTCTCCACATTGTAGGTGGACCTCATATCGTTCCTTGAAGGCCTGAATGGAATGAAAGTTTGAGTAATAAATAATTGTTTCTCTATGATAGTCTTTGAACAGGATATCAGTGTCCTTCTGCCTTTGGACTCAGACTGGGACTGGAACTTACACCATCAGCTTTCCTGGTATTCAGGCCTTTGGAATTGGGGTGGACCTACATTACCAACTTCCCTGGGTCTCTAGCTTGCCAACTGCAAATTTTGGACTCCTCAGTCTCTGTAATCACATAAAGCAATTTCTTACAATAAATGTACCTATGTGTCCACATATCCATCTAAGCATCTAGTGGGTTCTGGGT